>NC_000003.12:126735877-126887392 GCF_000001405.40 Homo sapiens
GGAAAGGCATCTCCTATAGGAGGTGCTACAGAAGATGATGTTGAAGGTGTACAACCATATTCAATACTCAGTACAAACAGAGGAGAAGGGAAGATAGTACTAGGCATTGTTCTGTAAGTTAACAGATAACCAAGGCAGTCAACTAAATGCTGAGCAGATGCTATGGCCATTGCTTCTAAAGAAGGGGGGCTCCCTTTGGGTTGGTATGGTTGGGGAGTGCTTTTAGTGGAGGTAAAACTGTATTTTCAAAACTATATTCTGGAAGATTTAAATAAGAGGAGAAAGATGGAGAGAAGAACCTAACAAAAGCAGGGAAATTTTTCTTTCCTCTCCTGCATCTTCCGCATGGAAAGGTTGAAGGAGGTGGCTAGTTGGCAGCCTGCTGCGTGGAGTGCTGAAGGGACTGGTGGTGTGGCAGTGTGTGGATCACAGCACATCCTTCTAGCCCTCCAGGAGGGTTGGTCCTGAGATGGAACTTGCATGGTCGCCAGCAGAATGAGTTGTCTGCCCACTCCTCCTAGGTGCCTTCTTGGCTACCCCTGTAGCCCTCCCTGTGAACCTGTAGCCTCATCTAGAGGATTTCCTGTTGTACTGAGTGCCGCTTAATATGTAATGTGCTCTTCCACCCTGTTCACTTGCCTCTGACTTTTTCCAATATTGATTTTAAAACCCTCTTCTGCGTAAGGGATTGGTCCATCTTATTATTGGGAAAAGTTATAAAACTAATGACAAGGAAAGGTAATAATTTTTCTGACCTACTTCTGATGACAGAAGTGTTGCCCTTTCCCATCTAGTGCAGCAGTGATGAACTGTTCTGTGCGTGTCAATGTGTGTTTGCTGTCACTGGTGGTGCCCTGGTTCTGGTCTGAGTGAAGGCCATGGGTGTCACTGGATCCTGTGAGAGGTGTTTCTCCCTCTGAGTTGATGGAGAAAGTAGGAGTCCAAATCAAACATTCTGGGAAGAAATAAAAAGAACAATGCTGTTGATCTCAGTCTTCTGATGGGTGGAGTCTTAAAAATCAAATGGATGGAGTAATCAAGTCCTGGGTGAGGCTTTATTTTAGGTGAGAATGAGATTTACAACCTTGCCTGTTGCTTCCTGACACATATTATTAGGTATGTAATAACACAGTACACCTGATAGAAAGCAAAAACTTTCTTGGCTGGGCGCGGTGGCTCACACCTGTAATACCAGCACTTTGGGAGGCTAAGGTGGGTGGATCACTTGAGGTCAGGAGTTCGAGACCAGCCTGACCAACATGGTGAAACCCCATCTCCAGTAAAAATACAAAATTAGCTGGGCGTGGTGGTGCATGCCTGGAATCCCAGCTACTTGGGAGGCTGAGGCAGGAGAATCACTTGAACCTTGGAGGCGGAGGTTGCAGTGAGCTGAATCGCGCCATTGCACTCCAGCCTGGGCGACACGGTGAGATTCCATCTAAAAACCCAAGAAAGCAAAAACTTTCTTTTCTTTGTTGCTGAGCAATTCTTTTATTATTTTATGATGTGTGAGTATATATATATATATATATATATATATATGCACACAAATGCACACACACATACTCTGTATTCCTGTTATATGTTAGGCACTGGGTTAGTTTCCTAATAAATGGAAATAAGAGACAGCTTCTGACCTTGAGAAGATGTGTTTATTAGGAGAATTAAACATTCTCAGAAGTGACCACATAGCGTTGCAAGGGTCATCCCAGAGGGACAGGAAGACACTCGAGGAGCAAGGAGGCAGTACCACCTGATACTTCCTGGTAGGGTGGGAATGAATTCTAAGAGGAGGTGAAATGTGAGCTTGATCTTGAAGAATGAATAGAATTTGCCAGGTGGAGAGGAGGGAGGAAGGATGCTGCAGATAGGGGGCACTCTTGAGCAAAGGCCACGCATTTGGGGAGGATGAGGCCTTTGGCTGGATTATAGGAAGCGGCAGGGTGTGGCGGTGGGGAGGCTAGAGGGGCCCACAGTGTAGGTGCGGTTGTGGAACGACATCCTGAAAGTCTGATGGGGAGCTCTGTGGAATGGTTTTCTGAACCTCAAAAGAGATAAATAGGAGACAGCTGGACATTGATCACTAGGAAAATACTTCAGTGGCAAATCAAGAAGCTAAGGTCAAATCCTCCCACTGAAGATTTGGTAACAAGAGTGCTTCCGTCCCTGGATGTGCCCCTCTAACCTAAGGATCCCACCAGTAGAGTAGCTGTCCTGTCCTGTTCTCCTGGTGGCAGAGGACTTTTGATCTCTTACTATTTCATTCTCTTCAATGCCCAGATGCTCCAGGTAGCTGCCACCTTAGCTATGTGAACTGGATACAGTTGGCCCTCCCTGTCCACGGGTTTCCGTATCTGCAGATTCAACCCACTGTGGATCGAAGTCCACAGATACAGAGGGCTCACTGTACTATGTCGTTTTATGTAAGAGGCTTGAGCATCCACAGATTCTGGCATCTGTGGAGGGTCCTGGAACCAATACCCCGTGGCCGACTGTATCATGACTTTAAGATGTTCAAAGTTTTTGAATTGCAATTTTCTAAAATTATGAGGGAGGTGGAGGATTGATTTTGGTTTTACTACAGCTGTAGCCTTTCTAACAGTCCTCTCCTACATTTTTATTGTCTTGTTCCTCAGATTATAAACTCCTTGAGAATAAGAACTGTGGTGTGATCATTTTGGTCTTTGTAGTGCTGAGCAAATTCTAGACAGGCAGTGAATGGTGATTAAATGGCAGATCTTGAGTGGGTGAGGGTTTGGATGTGTTACTGCTTTGAAGCCCGCTGTGCAGTCGTCTGTTATCTTTCCCTCGTGATCCCATTGCAGTGCCCCATTGCTAATAGTTGGAAGCAAGCACCCATCACAGCCTTCTATAGAATGGGTGACAATTCAAAGGTCTGACCCTTTTCAAGCAATAAAACAAAACAAAACAAAGTTTAAAAAGGCTTTCATTATAATGATATTTGGGAGTCAACTAAAAAGATGTTTGTCTCCTAGTCAGAGTCTTACAGACTTTAGGTTTATCTTTCTTAGAACAAGGGAGAGAGTGGGCTTTGGGAATTCTGGTCAGAGGTTGTGAAGTATACTACCTGACATTCAGCCAAGGCAGTCCTGATATCTGGGTCTAGCTGTTTGGCATGGCTGTTTTAGAAGTTTAGTGATCTGGAGACTCTGGTGGCCTTGTCCCTTATACCTCCTCCAGTGTGAGTGTTATGTGGAGATCTGAAAATCCTGTGGAGATCTGCATTGCCTGTGCTCAGATGACTGGTAAAAGGCATAAATGGGAGAAAAAAATCATGACATCCATAGCCCCTTTCTTTACTTCCTTGTTTTACTTTTTCTTCTCTTCTTTTGTCTACTGAGCTTAGTCTTTTGATTAGATCAGAGGTTGACAAACATTTTCTATAAAGAGCCAGATAGTAAATATTTTACTCTTTGCAGTCACATGTGGTCTTTGCCACATATTCTTTGTTGTTGTTGTTGTTACAACCCTAAAAAATGTAAAAACCATACTTAGCTCAGAGGCCATACAAAAAGAGACTGTGTACTGGATTTGACTGGTGGGCAAAAAACCTCTCCTGGACTAGACTATGCAGCTCCAGAGATTTTAACTTTTTAAGTCTCTCTGAGTACCCAGGTGTCTCAAGAAACTAGCGGGTGGGAGCACTGGTGGTGGTCCAAGTTGCTTAGTGGCTATTATTTCTTGTGAGAGGTTTCTTGTCTTGGTATTTGACAACTTCAGTCTTCTGATATGTAAAATGAGGATTTTTCTGGAGACAGCCCAGTGGGCTGTATGGGAAAAGTCATTAACTTCTACTTTAATTCCTGGTTCTTTTTTCATTTGGCTTTTTTTTAATAGTTTCTGTTTCTCTGCTGAAATACCCCATCTCTTTACATATGTTGCCCACCTGCAGATCCTCTAAACATAGTCTCGATTTGACAGTTCCAACACCTTGGTCACCTCTGGGTTTGGTTCTGTTGACTATTTTCTCTCTTGATACTGGGTCACATTTGCTTGCAGTTTTATGTGCTTTGTAGTTTTTGATTGGTGCTGGTCATCATATGCAGGAGACCAGTAGAGACTGAGGAAAATAGTGTTTATGCCCAGAAATGGCCATTCTCCTTCTTTTGACAGGCTATTAGTGTGGGAGGTTGAGTAGCCTAGTTGAGTAGAATGTGGGCTGTAGTGTTGCCTCAGCTTCAAACTATTAATATGATATGTGAGGGTGGGATCAAACCCATTCTGTTTGTCAGGGCTTAGGACCTGAGTACCTGAAGGGTTCATCTAAGTTTTCCTGACTGTCCACCAGACTATTTTATAGGCCCTACTTGTCTGTGATTGAGGGTCCTTCCTTGTCCCTCCTGCAGCTGCAGACTACTGTTGCTTGGTGGTCAGTGGAAGGCCTGGAGTGCCTATGGGCTTTCTCTCCATTCTGCTGCACTGCTCACAGACTTCAGCAGGCCCTGTGCACTGGTGCCTTGGGTGAATGTGTGGAGGGAAGGTGTCTCATTCAGTTCTCCTGCTTTATCTTTAAGAAAATAATTAAGAAAATTCTCATAACTGATACCAGAGTTAGTGCACCCTGTTTGTTGTCATCACCTTTAGAGCACCCTTCACACCCCAAAGAAAATGAAAAGGCCAAAGTGATGGGACTGACCTCACTCCTGCTCTGAATGTCCAGGCCCACATGGCTGCTAACGTACAGGGCTAATCCTTCCATAGAATATGCAGGGGTCCACACACTGGGTAGAAAGGGCTGTGCCACACATCTGCCCATCTGCATGCCCCATTCACCTTCACATTTGCTCAGAGAACAAGGGTGGCAGGTTATAGTTTAGAGAATTGGAATAATTAGTTGAAAGGGACACTGTGAGGCCTCCTGGGTTCCCACTTAACCTGGCCTTGGTGGTTATATGATGTGACAAATTTTGGAGAAAGGAAAACTGTAGATAAGCTTACATGAAAACTGGCTTAATCCTTTTAGTTGATCACACACCAAAAATGAACTTTGATTTATTTCCTGTATATTTTATCTAAACTGAGGGTGGAGGAAGGCTGTAGAAACCAGACATGGTGTTCGGTCATGGGATTGAGAGTCTGGCATCTGTGTCCAGGGATGGCCCTCTGTTCATCACTGCTGCAGTAGTGATGCCTGCCTTGGCCGGGTTGTGGTGAGGACCAAATGAGGAACATATATGTACAGTGCCTGGTGTCACAAAATGTTAGAAATGTTATCCTAGAGTGGTGTATTGGACAAACACGGGCTGTGAGGCTGCAGCTGTGTTCAGACGGCCTCCATCACTGTGGTTCCTTCGTGTTTCTATGATGCTGCCTTACCTGCAAGGTGAGGGGCAGGCGGTGCTGTGCGCCGTTGGGAAAGTTAGGATTTACTCTTCCTCCTTCACTTCCACCCATGTCTCCATGACAGAATTGATGTGAACTCATTCTTAAAACAAATCAGTGATTTTTTTTTTTTTTAAAGGATGTGGAGTCAAGAAACAAGTGAGGTTCATGTAGCTTCTGACTGGTTCTCTGGAGAGAGAAGCTGAAGTCATGTGGGGGTCCTAGAAACACTTTATTGATGGCCAGATGCCATGGAGCATCCTAGAGGTATGGTGTGGGTGTGGAATGAGGCTGCTCCTACTCAACCTGCTGTTGAAAGACCCTTTTGCCTGTGTCGCCTGGCTCTCTGTTCATCTCACTGCCTGACTTCCACACCTGGCTGTGCATCTGGATCACCTGGGAACTTGTTAAAAATGCAGATATTTGGATCCGATACTGAAACAACTGGATAAGACTCTTGGATGCTGTGATCCTGGAATATGTATTTCTAACAGCCTCCCATGTGATTCTGGTGCAGCAAGCCCAAAGCTGGTGCCTGGACCAATGCCGGGAGCCATTGACCCCAGAGTGTTTTTTGGCCCTTTTTGCAGTCTAGTCACCCCAGGGATGTGAAGTGTTCCTGCCAGGGATGTGGCTCCCTGTGGTCCTCAGGCCAGGAGGCTGTACTGTTTGAAAAGTGTACCAGGTGATTCTGATCGCTTCCCCTGCTTTGTCTCCCTCTCCCTGATGCAGCTCCTGCCTAGATGAATAGCTTTGTTGGGCTTATTGACCTCTAAGAGAAACAGATGCTCTTTTCTCTGCCAGGGTCTGCTAGAGAAGAGAATCTGCTGTCTGTGTTACCACTCCCTTGGTGAGGGATCCAGGCCATCTGGGTTCAGCGTTTTAGGGGATAGTAGTAAGACCTCTGATCCCAAATCCAAAGGGATGGCTGTGGGATGCAGGTGATACCGAGTGGCACTCACTGCATTCAGCAATAGCTCAGCTTATGTGAGAACCCAAAGCCTCAATTCTTTGCAGCAGCGGTAGCCACAGCCCAGGTCATACTGGAGGCATGCAGCAGAAGCGAAAGAAACCTTCTCAAGGGCTTGTGGGACTCTCAGGAGGGCTGCTGCTGGTCTGGTTACTACTTACTGCTGCCAGGTGGGCCCAATAGACCTGTGGGCTGAGCTTCCGGTATCTCCCCTAAGAAAACTGTTGTGTTCTTGTTTCCTGTCCACTTCATTAGGTGCATTGTGATGGTATCCTTGGTATTATGATTTGAATATTTGTCCCCTTCAAAACTCATGTGGAAATTTAATCCCCAGTGTGGCAGTATTGAGAGGTGATTGGGTCATGAGGGCTCTGCCATGATGAATGGATTGAATCCAGTTGTAAATTCATGAGTTGATGGATTAAGGAGTTACCATGAGAGCGGGACTGGCAACTTTGTAGGAAAAGGAAGGGAAACCTGAGAGAGCACACTCAGCCCCCTCACCACTTGATGCCATGCACCACCTCAGGACTTCTCAGAGAGTCCCAGCTAGCAAGAAGGTTCCCATCAGGTGTAGCCCCATGACTTGGACTTCTCAGCCTCTAGAACTATGAGAAATAAATTCTTTTTCTTTATCAATGACCCAGTTTCAGATCCTCTGTTATAAGCAAGAGAAAATGGACTAAGATATTTGGGGTGGAAGAAATCCTGTTTTTCCCTCAACTGTTTCATACATTTCTAACCATCAGATAGGTGGTGGTCACCCTGGTAGTGGGGAGAAGGACTAGGGGGAAGATGTGGGGTTGGGTGGAGAGGTGCCTGGGGGAGGGTGTTCATCAGGACAAGCTGGCCTGTGTGGTGTCATTGAGCAAGGAGAAGGTGAAACGCAGTCTCTAGCTGTTTTGAACCCTATGGGGAGCTTGTGGACTCCTCCTCTTTAAAGAAAGCTGTTACTCTGTGGACTGCTCAGATTCAAGTGTGGGGATTTCAGAATCTCGCTGTTCTAGAATGGCCCTGCTGTAGGAAGGGGGAGCCCAACATTTTTTGAGTAGCAGGAGATGTGCATGTGTATTCTTTGTTTAAGAAGCTGGAAGGACACGTGGGTTTTGCAACCTGGGCTTATTTGGATTTTGTGGAGCCTCCCCCATTACCAAATCACAGGTCTGCGGATGCCTTCAGTTTTCTTTTCTCTGGCTATGGTGCCTGGCTCAGGCGACCTCTGCTGTGTGCTGACAGAAGCTGGACATCCTCATTAGCTGCTAACTTTGTTAGGCAAATGGCTGATTGCGGTTCCATTCCTGGTGTCACTGCTTCTAATTAGCAGATCGCATGTCTCTGAAAATGTCTGTTAGCACCAGGGATGACTAAAGAGGCTGACAGCTGGGGCTGGGGGCTGGAGAAACTGTGCAGAAGTGCTTTCTCTTCAGCCTCTTGAGGGTCCAGGCTGCCGACCTCAGCTAGGCTCCTTGGCCTCTGAGTGCCCACTGGAGCCCAAGGGAACAGAGCAGCAGGGTTCCTTGAAAATTGCACCAACTGGAGGGGTGATCTGAGCCATCTGAGAGTGGCATTGGAGCAGCAGGTGACACCGTCCCTGACTTCCTACTTTGTTCTTGAGAGAAGTCCAGGCCAGTCTGAGAGTTTTGGGGTTTCTTGTTTTGAACAGAGGTCTTACGTGGTCATATGTGAACCTAATACTGTAGGGAAACCTGATTGGATCGGTGCCATCCCTCCTGGCTCGCATCAGATGGTATGCGCTGGCAGTGAGGGCACAGGTAGTCAGAGGAAGTAGCACCACCCCTTCTGCTGCCATGCTTGCTGTACCCCTGCTCCTCTTCCTTCGGGTCAGTGCCCACCAGCCCTGCCACTCTTCTGTGTGTGGATCAAGTGGGGCAGCCCTTACAGCCCTAGGACAACCTGACAGCAGTATATTTTCCTTTTCTCTCCTGCCAGAGTGAAATTGGGCTGGTGCCTTCCCACTTCTATGCTTGCCTCTAGGATGCCAGTAGGGCTGGGGAGAGGGGAGGGTCTTGGTTATTTTAAGTCTATTTATGCAATTTATTCACATGGTTTTTGGGGAGCTACCATTCTGCTTTTTCCTTTTTGTGGAAAAATGTTTTCAATTTGTCAAGCCGATTGTGTTTGCCCTCTTGGGGAGATGCCATTGCTGGCTACTGGCAAGGTATAGAATCGAAAAGGGTTATTTGGCTGAGAAACATCAACAAGTGTTTGCCGGAGAAAAGTCCGATTCTTTCCCTTACCTTTGTCTACTTGGTGGGTGAGCCAGGGCCCTATCTCCTGTGTGTTGGCTATGAGCTGAGTGCACTTGGGTAGACCAATACATGCACCAGCTAGGAGGAGCTTTCGCTGTGAGTAATGGAAGCCCAGTTGGCAGTGGCTTAAAGTGGAAGTGTATTCTTCCCATGAACAAGACACCAGGGGCAGCCATCCCAGGTGGTTATGGTAGCTTCGTGCCTCAGAGGGATCCAATCACTTCCTGTATTTTTTTTTTCTCCCCGAGACAGAGTCTCATTCTGACACCCAGGCTGGAGTGCAGTGGTGCGATCTCAGCTCACTGCAACCTCCGCCTCCTGGGTTCAAGTGATTCTCCTGCCTCAGCCTCCCCAGTAGCTGGGACTACCGGCGTGCACCACCACACCTGGCTAATTTTTATATTTTTAGTAGAGACAGGGTTTCACCATGTTGGCCAGGCTGGGACCTCCTGTCTTTTTGACTGGCAGTCCTCAGTGCAGCTCTCCTCGTGGTGGCAGAGGGCTGCTGTGCCTTCAGCCATCACATCAATTTTCCAGTCAGGAAGAAGGAAGGGCTGAGAGCCTTGTTCTAGTGAAGTTTTATTATTTTATATGGGTGTGGGAGGGACACTCTTCCCTGGGATTCTCGTTGGCAGAACTGTGTCGCAGGGCCACCTCTAGCTGCAAAAGGGGGGCTGGGATAGTGAGCAGTTTTACCTGGACACGTGACTGCCCCAAACAAAATCAGGATTATGTTATTAAAGAAGAGGGAAGAGGGACTGGATGCTGGTCAGGTGGCGAGGGCACTTTCCATAGCCTTGTGGCTTAGCGAAGCCCAGCGTCCGGACTCTGTTACACCTGGGCTCAGATGCCCCAGGTACTGTCTCTGTGACCCTGGACCCATTATTTAACCAAGCCTCAGTTTCCTCACATGTCAAATGGCACACCTCTCCTGGAGTTGTTAGCATGCTTTCATAATATGTGAGCAAAGCCTTCAGCACATGGTCTGGCAGATGGAAGGTGGTCAATACATTCTTGCCTTTCTGTTATGCCAAATTCCCCCAAAATGCACTAGGAGAGGAGCTACACGGGTGACTAATAGAGTCTAAAGGATAGAAGTGGGTAGTGATTTTCCACCATGGCAAAAAAGGGACAGCGAACAGAGTGCTTTTGAGTGCAGGAATGCTGGCTGTTACCAGGTTGCTAATGTTCTAACCCTCCACCTGGGTTGGCTTCAGGCTTCGGAGGCCCCTGAGTACACCCCTCCCCACCAGGTAGCCTTAATTCTAAAACAGACCTTCCAGATCCCACTAGTTGTTCTTTCCTAACTCTTAAGGTTAATTTGTGCTTGGAGAGGAGATACAGCTATTCAGGGCTGCTGTCTCTGGGCTTGCATTCTTGCTGATGCCAGGACTGGCTTGTTTCACTGACCTTGGGCTTGTGAGGCTAAGTGGGTAGGGAACCCTGGGTGCTTGGCTTCCTGCCCACTTGGGTGTGTTCTTAGCAGAGTCAAGTCACTCCCTGCCCCCTACACTTGGTGGCATCTCCTCCTTCCTTATCAAATCTTGGCGAGGCTTCTCTGGAGGATTCTGGTACTCTGTTCTTGGCTAGGACTTGGGTGGCTGGGCAGGGTGGCTTAGGGGTATTGCTGAGGAGAGTAGAGGTATGTGGCAAAGCCTTTTGCATGACACGTATCAGGTAACAAAGCTCTGAGGCCGCTGGGACTAGACACACTGGGAGTGACAGTCTCTGTGGAGTGGCTTCTACTGGGAGCCTTTGCCTCTGCGCTTGTGCCCACAGGGAAGGGAGCACCTGCACATCAGCCTCGCACAGCGGGCATGGCCTGGGCAGCCTTGCTGGGAAAGTCATGACTTTCCTCTTCTTGATGCAGACTCCCTGCTCTCTCTCCTCTTCCCCTGTTGATTGGGTGCCTTCCCTAACACATACAGCCTCTGGTGTTTTTTCTGCTTGTGTGTAGTGGTTCCCAGGAGGCCTGGCAGCCCTGCCTTGCCTTGGGCCTGCTCCTTCTCTACATCTCCCCTGGCAGCAGTGGCGCTTGGTGTGCGAGTGCATCCAGGGCAGGATCCGCCCAAGAGCCTCTGTTCTTGGGGCTCCCAGGTGTCAGACAATGTTGAACACGGGGCCCATTCTCTAGCTGACTGGTTGGACATGATGTCGGCACCTTATCTTCGTGCTGACACACACTGGACATTAATAGAAATACACCGCCATGTCACATGTGTGGAATTTCAAGCAGCCGCGAGGCGGGTGCTTTCGATAGCCTATTGTGTGCTTAACCTCTTCCAAAGAGGTTTTTGATGAGAAATATGTAGGGCTGTTAACTCCAGGCAGCCTGGCATGTGGCAGGTTTTCCTTTTTTTTCCTTTCCCCTTCTTGATTGTTTGCAGTGCTTCCTTAATCTTCACTCTGGAGGAGTGGGCTTTGCCACTTCAGGACATTTTATTTAATCCGTGGCTGCACAGGCAGCGCTCTGCTGGCACCAAGGACAGCATGGTTAGCCTGGGTGCTGTGGGGCTGTGAGGTGGCCCGGGAGTACTGGGGGAGCCTCTCCTCAGCTGAGTTGTCTGGCCCTGGGTTTTTTGCCCCGATCTCAGCTTTCATGGCTGTGTACAGGGCTTTTGGGACTACTGGTTGCTTCTCTTCCGAGACAGCCTAAGCTTTTGGAGCTGTCTTTGTTTTTCTCTTCATCTCGTCTCCTTTCTCCCTCTCGGGAGCTGCTGGTGATGCCTCAGTTTCTCTAACTGAGGTCTGAAGCCCAGGAAAAGATCTTTACTCAGATGATCTGGGTCTTGGTGTGCTCTTTGTAATTGCGTGTGACTTTGCAGTTATCCTAAGAGAGACTTGTATTTGCAGCTCATTTCTACTGCTTATCTGGGATATCTCCATACACGTTCGGTTTTCCCAGCTGTAAAGTGAGATGATAGTGCAACTCATAAGGTTAGTATGGGGTTTCAGTGAGATAAAATTAAGTGCCTAGGAGAATGTCTAGACTGCAGTAAGCTCTCAACAGAAATTATGTACCTAAACATTTTCTTAGTGAGGCTAAAGGTGAAAAGCATTCATGGCCACTGGCTTCTGGATCATGTTTCTCAGTCTTCCTACTAGTAAGGCTGGTCTTTAACCTTATTCCAATTGCCATTTTACTTCTGATGGCACTTTGTATATCAGAAATCTGCTTTACCTCCATCTTGGATTTCATCATGACTCAATTCTCATGGCCCATCAGGTCTCGTGGTGTGACATGTCTCCCTGCCCACAGGGTCTGTACTGACAGCTAGATATATCCAGCACCCTCCTTCCCTTCATTTCCAGAGACTTCCTCCATGCCCATGTTGCTGGATTCCAGCCTTGGGTGAACCCCACCAACTGCTTTCTCTGCATCTGGGCCTGGGCTCCTGGGGGCCGCTAGAGGCTGGATGGTTGGGTTCTCATGCAGTTCGTGCTCTCTGACCTCCTGGGCGTTACCCTCTCTGCTGCTGCCTTGCCGTCCTCTTGCTGCGCTCCAGCAGCACCCTCCTGTGCCCTCCCCACATCCACTTGTGAGTTCTCTCCATCCTGGCCTCACCGCCCTCTCCTCCTTGCTTCCTCTCCTCTTAAAAGGGGCCTCTCTGCCAGTGACCTGGATCCTGGATCTAGCTCCTCCCCTCCTCTTAGAGCCTGCTCTGTTACTTCCCCACTTTCTCCTCAGATATCCCTGTCTAAAACCAATAGACCTTTCCCAAGCAGCTACTCTGGTTGCCTCCTGGCTCTTCCCTTTCCTTGCCATAGAGTGTCTTGGAATCACAGTGGTAGTCATAATCTTTCTTCTCAAACTCATTACAATTTGGCGTGATCTCAGAAATTACCATGATTGGCTGGGTGCAGTGGCTCACGCCTGTAATCCCAGCACTTTGGGAAGCCAAGGCGGATGGATCACCTGAGGTCAGGAATTCGAGACCAGCCTGGGCAACATGGTGAAACCCCATCTCTACTAAAAATACAAAAATTAGCTGGGCGTGGTGGTGGGCGCTGGTAATCTCAGCCACTTGGGAGGTTGAGATAGGAGACTTGCTTGAACCCGGGAGGCGGAGGTGGCGGTGAGCCGAGATTGTGCCACTGCACTCTAGCCTGGGCAACAGAGTGAGACTACATCTCCAAAAAAAAAAAAAAAAAGAAAGAAAAGAAATTACCATGATCTTCTTTCCAACAAATCTGATAACTTTCCTTCTTCACATTTCCTTCAAGGGGTATTTATCACCAAGTAGCTACTCTTCCTTTAAATGTCCCTTCTGTGAGCCTCTGTGCCTTAGCTATCCTGCCCCCTTTCTGCATGCTCCATCCATCCATTCAAGACATGTTCCCTGAGCAGGGCTGCAGCCCGGGCTGGGCTGGCCATCCAGAAGTGACCCGATCCTGACCCTACTGGAGCCCCTGGTCCAGTTGGAGAAACAGATGTCAAACAAGTAACTATTACCAGCTGAGATAAGCATACTGCTGCAGAGAGAGAGAGAGTGATAGTGATGCCCTAATTTAGATTGAGGTCAGCTAATGCTTCTCTGAGGAGTGGACATGTGAGCCGCGACCTAGAGGGTAAGTGGGAAGGAGACAAAGAATGAGGAGGGGGAGCTCTGCAGTTTGTGGGGAGTGTGCCCCGGCCTGGGTGGTAGAGAGTTCAGTGAGTGAATGCAGCTGCCAGCAAGAAGGGTGTGAACAGTGGGTGGGGACTCATGGGCATGGCAGGAAACTGGGTTTGAGAAGCAGCAGGGAGCATGTGAAAGGTTTTCATAGAGATTCTGGGGAAGATGGCAGAGTGGGCAAGAGCAGAGGCAGGGGAATCAACAGGACTCCCAAGGGCCCTTCAGAGAGATCATGGTGACCCAGACAAAGGACAGTGACAGTATCTGGGGGAAGAATTATGTGGAGAAAGAAATGACACATTTGGTGAGGATGGGGGCTGTGGGGTGAGAAAGAAGGAGGTGTTGAGAATGACTCTTGGGTTTCTGGCCTGAGCCAGATGCCCTTTTTTGACAAGGAGATGCCTAGACTCCTCTCTGGCCTCCCTACCTCTGGGTCCTTCTATCAGTTATGGTCTAGATTGAGCTGCTGTAGCAGAGAGGCCCCCAGATACAGTAGCATAAATAAGAAAGACATGTTTCTCTTTCATGGAACTGTCTAAAGGTAGTCCAAGACTGGTGGGAGCTCTGCCAGCCTCAGCAGCCTTGGGTGCAAACTGTTTGCTCCATTTCTCTTCAGTTCCTGACCAGTGCGAAGGGGACACGGGCCATGTGAGTGCATTCCCGTTTGGCTCTTTTATGGGCAAGACCAGAACTGGGCTCCATCATTTCTGGACATACCCTGTTGGCCAGAAGATAGTCACATGACCACTGCTAGTGACAGGTTGTTTAGGAAATGTCTAGACAGTGTAGCTGGATGCCCAGCCAAAGCTCCATACCAAAGAATGGCTATGGGGGGACAATTGGAAATCCACCACTGTTGTTTGTTGCCTCCTCATTACCTCTTGAAAACACCCACATCCACCTTGGCCCGACGTCTGTTCAGGACCTCTGTTCTCTAGATGCTGGTTGGCCACACCTTTCCTGGTGCCTTCAGGGACCTCAAACTGAGGACATCCAGTACAGAACCTGTCTTCTCTCCATACCTGGGCTTGAATCATTTACAAAACATTGCGCAATTGGGATAGCTGCTCAGTTCTCCATAGTTAGCAGTGGAGGGGTCCTCGAGAAGGCACAATGCTGTCAATTCTGCCCAGACATTCATGGGGGTTGCTTCTGGGGACCAAGCAGGGAATATCCCACAGAGTCGTCTTTGACTATTTTCTCCTAGTGCTCATCTGGCCTTCCAGGCAGCTGACCTCAGGGCTTCCACTGAGACCCCAGATGTGCATGTCTCTGTTTGGAAGATGATCTGTTAAGATGCCACCCATGGCAAAGCAGACAGCTCTTCCCCTGGCTGGCTGTCCAAAGTATGGCCCTGGCCAGACCTCAGATGGGGGCAGTGTTTTCTACCAGATCAGACAGAATCGGAGAGAAGTGCTCCAGAGTTGGCGACTCCCTCCTGGGAATTGCTTCAGGATAAGGACTGAGATGGAGGTCAAGCCAGCGTGGCCTTTGGTGCTAGAGGGTCTGCTAGGGGCAGGCCTTGGTTGGGCATGGCTGCCTCTAGGCCTGAGTCTTGAGTGCCTGGATACCCCTAGCATGTGAGGCAAGTTCCCAGAGCTTTCTCCCAAGCCTCCCTGTAAATGAGCAGACCCACCTAGCTTTAATGCTAATTCCTTTTGCAATGAGCCTGAACTTCCTTGTTTCCCAGTTAAAGCCAGCCCATTAACACTGCCCCATCTGTCACCATAAATGGAAAGTTTTTCTAACAGGTGGGCAGGCAGTTCTCCCATGCTAATGAGGAATCGATGAAATTCCTCCAGGAACTGACATCATGGCTATGGGCCCTGCCTTTGCTGTCTCCACAAGAAGGCACAGCTGAGCAAGGGCAGTTGGTGCCCCGTGCTGACCCCAGCACAACATCTTGACCTCTTGAGGATCTGGAAGGGTAGGAGGGAGAGGAACGGTGGTCTAAGGCTTCTCATCTTTCTTGCTCTCTGGCTTTCCCTGGAGTCACCACCGGTAGGGCTGAAAAGGAATGTATGTTTTTCTTTTGTGTTCAGGCCTTGCCGGGCCTCTGGGGGACTGTTATTTTTTTTTTTTCTCTGGGCCTCTGGTTGCACTTCTTTGAAGGCAGTTCTTTTTCTCACTAATAAGAATTTGCCACCATGTGTGGTAGCTCATGCCTGTAATTCCAGCACTTTGGGAGGCAGAGGTGGGCCGATTGCTTGAGGCCAGAAGTTCGAGACCAGCCTGGGCAACATGGCAAAACCCTGTCTCTACAAAAAATACAAAAATTAGCCAGGCGTGATGGTGTACACCTGTGGTCCCAGCTACTGGGGAAGCTGAGGCACGAGAATTGCTTGAGCCTTGGAGGTCGAGGTTGCAGTGAGCCGAGATCATGTCACACTGCACTCTAGCCTAGGTGACAGAGTGAGACCCTGTCTCAAAAAAAAAAAAAAAAAAAAAGCGCCTGCATTGCCCTAACTTGATTTTTATCTTATCCTCTAGGGTAGCCCAGATTCTGCTCCTTTGCTGGGGCCCTCTAGCCAGAGCAGACCTGGGTTTTTAGGGTTTTAGAGTGTGAGTTTTTTATTTATTCTTCTTTTGTTATGTCTAGCAGCTAGGATTGGAGGCTGCCGCAGCATGGTGTGAATTCAGGAGCCGGGTTGCCTGGGGTCGAATCCTGCTTCCCAGTTGTGCTCCCTGAGCAGGGCACTGAATCCTCTGTTGTCCCTGCTGGTGATCCTGCCTCCTCCCTGGATAGTCATAAGACTTCTTGAGATAAGGGACAAGCTTAGAGCAGCACCAGGTGCACAGCACATGGAATGTGCCTGTACTGCCCTCTGAGGTTTACCAGTTATGCCCCTCCAAAGCCTTGTACCCTGTCCACCTCTGGGACACGGCCTCATGCATAGTAAAATTCACTCATCTAATGGCCGTTTAAAAATCACAGCTTTTAGGCCAGAGTCTTAGGATGAGGCCAGAGCTTAGAACCTGTGTGTGTGAGTAGGGGCACTCTAGGACTAGCATTTTGAAATTGGCATTCCTGTCCCACGCATATCCTGTGCTTCACTGGGGACAGGCTCTGGGTGCAGGAGCTGTTTGGGCTTAGAAAAGGTGGGGAAGAAGGCCAGGCTCTGAGAATGCAGCTCACTCCTTCCTATTTTTCATTTGTCACTGGTCCCTGGGAAACGGTTTTCTCCAGCAGTTTTGGTTGTTGCCACAGCCAGAGAGAACCCCACTGTGCCTTGTGAATGAAGTCCTGGAACTGTTGGCAGGACTCTGGTCACAGCAGCCCCTCTTCTGGGATCCGGTCTCTTCCTGTGGTGTGTGAGCGGAGCCCACTAGGTGGCAGGCCTGGGCCACTTGTTGGCTGGAAGAACAGGCGTGCTGGGAGAAGGCCTTGGGCAGGGTGGGGAGAAGGCCCCTTCCCCCGATGTCATCCTCTGAGGGCCTGTAACCTGGTAGCTTTGAGACTGATTAAATCTAGCTGAGGAGGCTGAAAGGCCCTCTACCCAAGGCCTGATCTTTCATCTCCTGCCCTCTTTTTGTTGGGAGACCTGGCTTTTTAGTGTTATCTGACCTCCCTTTGTTGTGGCTGCCCTGGGGGACAGGTTGACCAGGTTTGTACTGCCCTGTGGGGACTTAGCATCCCGTTCGTTCTCCCTGCCCCTTTAGCGCGGCTTGCTGAGGAAGGGCCCGCTTTTCTCTCACCCTGTTCTCCTCCTCATCCAGAAAGTTACTGATGGCTTGGCTTGGATCCAGAAAAATGTAAAGAAGGAGCAGTTGGGATTAGATGAGGAAGGAGAAATATTGGGGTTTTATGATGGGCTGGGCTGGGGCATTGACTCCTCAACCCCAGCTACTTTGTTCCTAGACCTCGTAAGTCACATTGTTTGTCATTGCCAGGTACCCGAGGTTAAGGCCAAATTAAGAACTGTGTCTGTGGACTGCTTCCCCAGCTGGCAGAGGGGCGGGGGATAGGAGGATTCCTTGCACTAGTCCTTCTCTTGGTAGCTGGTGGCACCCTTCAAGCGCCTTTTCCTTGGCTGCTTTTTGTAAAACAAGCAGATTCTGACTTTCTTGGGGGCGGATGGACTGTCACACGATTTTGGCAGCCAAGGGGATTTTTTCAGGGCCCAGGGAAGGCACATGGAGCAAACAGCTAACATATCAGTGGCTTGGACTTCCCATGGCAAGCAGCCGTTGCATGAAGGAACCTCAAGTTGGCATCTGGATATGGTCATGCTTGCTTGTTTCTGTGAAGAAGTCAAGGTTCGGCAGCAGGAGCTGTGCCGTCCTTTTGCCCACCTGGAGGCTGAGGAGGAGGGGCACTGAGGCACTCGTAGCTGGGTGCAGATCATTCCAAAGACATTCCAGGAGCATGCTGCAGCCCGCCTGCATGCCTGCCATAGCTGCGGCTTGTAGACCGGCCTTGGGGTGGAGTTCTCTGTAAACATTGGACGGGGCCTCTGTAGAAGTGGCATCAGCAGAGAGTTTGTCTCAACCTTATTGGGACCTTGGCTAGCATTCTCTTCCCAGATAAAGATCAGTGTCCTGCCTCTCTTCTTGCTTCTCTTCATCTGCCCTTGCCCCTGTCTCTCTCTCTGGTGTACAGGCGCATTGCCCAGAGTTTCGTGGGCTGCCTTTCTGCAGCAGTGGGTGAAGAGAGGGCCCACGGGTTTGGTTCTTCCTGCTCTCTGGGCTGCAGTGCTCCAGCACGAGTCTGGGTGGCAGTGGGCACCAAGGGCTGTGGTGGGCACATGCTGAGCCTTGCTGGAAGTAGTACTACCTGAGAGGTACCAGCACGTGGCCTGGAGAAGCTCAGCAGTACCTGCTTTTCCTGAGAGGGGTGGAGAGGAAAGGGATTGCCAGGCTTGAGTGTTTATTGGGAAGGTGGTGTATAAATTCCATGTGGAGGCGGGGGATCCTGTTAGAATTATTCACATGCTTCCTTAGAGTCCCAGCAGCATTGACATCCCTGTTACCCTGATCTGTAATCTCTGGTTTGTCCACATTAGTCCATAAAATAGTCATAGCAGTTAGAGCTGCAGTTCTTTGGATCACAGTCTGAACTGCCTTGAGAGAAGGTAGCAGGTAGTAGAAAAGGTTAAAAGAATCTCATCTGTGTTACTGAAACAAGTTGTGTGGCCTTGGTTAAGTGTCTCTGGGCATCACTTTCCCCATCCGTAATACAGGGACAGCAATATTGACTTCACAGGGTTGTTGCAAGGATCAAGTGTAAACATCTTCAGAGTGCCTAGCTCAGTGCTTCACCTGCCATAGGTCCTAGAAAGCAATCATTCCTTCCAAGAGATGGTGCCAGCAGCTGGCTCTGTCAGCATATACTGCCCTTCAGCCCCTAAGCCATGTACCTAGCCCTTTGGGATCATGCAAATCTCCCTGTGGACATCTGTGCCAGAACACCCAGTGGCACCCTTTGTGGCTGAGCTCTTTCTAAGGTACCGGCTATTGGCAGAGGAGCAAGCTGGGGTAAGGAGGCGAGCATGTCCAGGAACATTCTTTCTTTTCCTCTCCAAAGCAGGCTGCCTCTAACAGCTCGGCTTCCGAAGTGAAAATCCTGTGTGCTCCTAATTGGTTTTCAGGGGAGATTGATTTTTGCCAGTGTAACTGCTGCTAGGAACCCTGATGTCTCTCTCCTTAGGGATCACGTCCCTCCAGATGAATTTTGTTTTTAGTCCCCATCGAATCCACTTGCCACCTTTTCTAGCAGGACCTGTTTAGGAGCCCTGGAGATGAAATGGTAGGCACCTTTGGTGCTTTGGCCTTTGGGAGGCTGTCTCTCAGAACGTCTCCAGGCTAAGAAGCTGATGGGCAGGAAGGGCAGTGGCTGCAAGGAGGGAGTGTGGCTGCTGCCAGTCTCCTGGGTCTGGCATCTTCCCATTGGGGGCAATGAGTTGTCATATTCTAAAATCCTGATGAAGTGGGGAGTGTGGAGAGAATCCAAGCTCCTCGAGTACCTGAAGAACGATGGCCTGGAAAAGAGGAGGCCAGCTGTGTTCTGGCTCTAGCGAGGGCAGAGGAAAGTGGATTGGGCATAAGCAGTGCCAGCCAAGAACATGAGGAGGGAGAAGGGTTCAAAGAAATCAGAGTTGAGAACTCTCTTCAGGACCTGTCCTGGATGGCAGGCAGCAGCTCTGTCTTCAGTCGGGAGGAGAGGTACCAGGAGGGATCAACAGCTGGGAATGGGTTTTTGAGGTTTCTGTGTCCATCTAGCTCAGCCCTGTCACTGTATAGGGCAGCCCAAGGCCCAGGGTGAGGCTAGGTGGCCTGTCCAAGAACCCAAGCGAATGCCCACATCTGCAAGTCCCTGGGCATGTGTCTTGGGGCTCTGGGTAACATCCCTGGCTGGAGGGTCATCTCTGAGGCTCTGCAGCACAGCAGGTATGAGGAAGTGTCTTCCACACTGTTTCTTGAAATCCTGTCATTTCACCAGGCTTCCCAGAGAGTCTGCAATATATCTGTATTTTAGTCACTGTAGCTCTCTTTTTGGCAGCCCGATTATTTAGGCCTGACAGGTAGGCACAACTGTCTCATTAAATGCAGATATATTTGTGTGACTTAAAAAAATAGAACATTCTATTAGTCTAAAAAAAGATACCAGTAGCTCCCCTTTTATTCATAAACTCAATATATCAAAATTTGTGGTCATTAAATGTATGAGATGGGAATGAAGTCAAGGCTTCTACCTTCTTATTGTGAAATATCCAGGTGTTGGTGGCACTGTTGTCTATGTGTGTGTGTACATCTGTGTGTGCATGTGTGTGTGTGTGTGTGTGTGTGTGTGTGTAGACACAGACATTCCTTATGCCTGGTCCTGGATCAGGTGCTTTGAGTAGGTTTTCTCATTTGATTCTCACAGTGCCCCTTTAGGTAGGGGCAGTGTTGACCCTTTTTGCAGATGACTGTGAGGCTCTGGGAGGTTAGTAAACTGTCCAGGGCCGTGCAGTGGGTCTGTGCAGGGCTCGGAGAGAATCCCTGTTGCAGCAGCTGGTCTGTCTGTAGGTACTGGTGCTAGAGAGCCTGATGGACATTGCAGCTGGAACACAGGACCGAGTTTCCCACTGTGGTCGTGATTCTTCACCAACCCCTCTGCCCACCCCTACCTCGGACCCATAGCTTAGAATCTGGGGCTGGGGAAGGTAGAGAGAGGAAATAGAGATGGCAGAAGCCTCTTGGGTGATTCTGTTAAATACACCCACTATTGAGAATCAATAGTTTTTGTAAAAGGAGAAAGATGAACATTATTAAAACGCTTCTCCTTTGTCTCCAATAGAGCTGCCTGGGGAGCCACAGGCTGCTGGAGAGCCTGGCCTCCTGAAGGGAGGGTGTCCACTTGTTTCTCACCCCAGCTGGACCATGGAGAGCTTTTTCCATTCTGATGTACATGCCATATGCTGTAAGGCAGGGGGGAAGTGGAATGTGTAGCTCACCAGTGTTTTTCAGGATTGCCTCCCTTTATAAATCCGGGTCTCCCTACTCTGTCATACCCACACCATAGGCTGGTGGTCCTGGATAACCTTGAGCAAATTATAAACACTCTGTGGCCGCAGTTTCCTCAGTTGTAGTATCAAGCAGCCTCACAGGGCATGAGAACTAAATGGGAAATCATTCATTTACCTATTCACTCAACAGGTATTTATTGAAGATTCTGTGCACCATGCTCTGTTCCAGGCATTGGGGATACAGCAGAACAGAACAAAGCTCTTACCCTTTAGCACTTGCATACTAGTTGTATGGAATGTAAGGATGGAGAGATAGTAAACAAGTAGATAATAGGTCAGTGGTAAGTATGAGTGGTTAACCTTAGTCTGGTTATCCACTTGTGTCTTGTTAATTAAGGCAAGAATCACATCATGTATGTTTGTTTTCACCTGTATCCTTGTGCACTTGTAAATCAACTGGTGGTATTACAGATTTCTACCTCTTCCTCCTTTCTTTTTTAGCATAGGGAAGAAAGCCTGAACAACCACACGCGTATTTGTTTTTCTTGATAAAATCGCAGGTTGTGTAGGTTGAGCCTCCTAAATCTAAAAATCTGCAGTCTAGAATGCTCCCAAATTCAAAACTTTGCAAGTGCTGACATGACACTCAAAGGAAATGCTCATTGGAGCATTTTGGATTTTGGGTTTTCAGATATGGGATGTTCAACCTAAGTATAGTGCAAATATTCAAAAATCACAAAAAATTCAAAGTCTGAAACACTTTGGTCTCATGCATTTCAGGTAAGGGAAACTGACCCTGTACTTGGGGACTTTGTCACCCTATCTGGAAGAAGTCTAGGGAAAAGTCCTTAACAACACTAAAGCAGTGATGAGGTGGTGGTGGGGCAGGGGGGCTCAAAAGGAAAAGGGAAAATATTGCTCTGGAAAGACAACTTTGAAAGTAAAGGGCTTTGTTTATGGTGTATAGATCATTGGGAAAGTAGAGAAAGTGAACACAGACTTCCGCAGCAAGCTCAAACTAGTGCCAGGAGGCATTTTGCAAAGATTGAAGAATAGGACACACCACTTTTGCTTAGTGCATAGATATCTTGAGGTAGGTACCATGAGGTGGTACAGGTTAGAAATCTAAGCCAGTTTTAAGAAAACTGATGTTAAGCAAACTTAATACCTTCTGGACAAGTAGGCCACAGAAGCGAGTAAGAAATTGTAAGAAAACACAGCAGGGATTGGTGAGCACCTACGTACCACAGAGCTCTGGGAGTATGAGCCCAGGGGTGCCCAGCTGCCGACAGGGGTATCTTTGTGAATTTTTGGGTGTCAGCAACTAATTCAGACTTTAAAAAAGAAGAGGGAGGAGAAAGAGGAAGAAAAGGAAGAAACTGGTATGGTATAAACAAAACAAATCTGAAAGCTCAATGTGGCCCAGTGCCCTACCAGATTATAAACTGGTTTGGATGAACCCACTCTCAGGTCTTTTAGTGGAAGGCAGGTTTTTGGTAAGTTTTTGAGCTGGAATTTGGGACCAGATGAACTCTTGGGCAAGCCCTCTGTGGCCCGATGATAACCTTCAGTTTGCATCTGTGAAACAGGCCACTGCCAGCTGCTCCATGTCTGTGGGGAGCTTTGAAATCTTGATTAAAAGGCCCCAGCTAAATAGAGAAGATGCTTCTGGTGTATTGACAATCTTTCTGTGGCCATCAGCGCCCATCAGCAGGTGCTGCCCTCAGCGTCCCTTCCAGCCTGTAGCTGTGTCTGCTATTTTTAGCTCTTCTGCAACTCCATTAACCATATCCACCTCCTCATGCCACTTGTCTGTATGTTTAATTATGTAAATGGCATTACAAATCACAGTGGTGTTGAACTACATCTCATTTCTCACAGCAAATCAAAGCATGTTACACTGTGTCTTTTTGGCCATTCTTTCAATCTGAAGGTAGACACGGTAGAGGATGATTGCTTTCTTCTTGTGAGGAAGATGAGTTGGGAAAATGGATGTTTTGGTAAAAGTGATTTCATGGGATGCATGTGGGATCTCACTAAGCGGCTGACTTTTGTTCTTTTAACTTAAGATAATGGGTTTTGTGTCTATTAAGCCAGTTATTTGCTGTCCCATTTTTAGCAATTGGCTTTAATTCTCAAGCCACTCTCAAGTTTGTAGGTGAGCAAGGAGATGTGTGCAGTCTTTGAACTATAGGAGGAGGACGAATGGAGCCAGTAAGACTTTCCTTTGCCAGGTCACTTGTAGGAGGGATGGGTCTGAGACCGCCCTGTGTCCTCCTCTCTCATTACCTCCAGAATGTGTTCTTTTAGAAAGCCACCCTTTCTGTCTACCCTGCGTCACTTATGTTGTAATAGAAGCTCATTTCCTTTTGACTGGTGTTCAATAAAGAGTAAATGGTCAGTACCCTTCCTGGAATAAGTCTTCACTTTTTGTGCTCTGCTTTGGATCGCATCTGTGGGCCCTGTGTGCTTTCTCATTCTCTGCTACCTCTTGCTGTCAGCTCACCAGCGTGGTCAGGTCTGCCTGTTCTCGCCAGTCCAGCCCTGCGGCCTCCTGCAGCCCTGCCACTTTCTACCAGCAGCTCTTATCTCTCATTGCCTGTTCATTTGTGGTGTTCTTGTAATCCAGTGGTTAGCCCTACTACTCTTCTGAAATGATTTACTCAGATGCTTTCCTGCCTTCCAAAGCCAGAGTGTTCTTCAGGCCTCACTCTACCTGTATTGTTATTGAGTCATGTAAGAGTTACTTGGAGATATTGTAATTTCATCCATAAATACCTGAATATGCATCTCATCTCCTTAAGAACAAGAACATTCTCCTGTCTCACCACAATAAGATGATTGTACTTTCTACCTCATACATAGGCTACATTCAGTTTTCCTTGTCCCAATCAAGTCTTTTGTAGTGGTCATTTGAAATTCCAAGATTCAGTCAAGGACATGCATTTCTTATAGTTGCTGTGTCTCTTGTGTGCTTTAATCTAGTAGAAGAGTTTTCCCAGGCCTTATTTAGTCTTTTATGACATTGATATTGAAGAACCCAGCTACACTGTCTCTATAAAACCACTTGGATTTTTCTGATCTTTTCCTCATGATGAGGTTCAGGTTAAATGGTTTGGTCAAATAGGCGCTACCGGGTGATTTTTTGCTCTCCTCACTGTATTATATCAGGAGATACATGATGGCAGCTCCTGTCGCTCTTGGCACCATTAAATTTGATTACTTGGTTAAGGTGGTTTATACCACATTTTGCTATGGTAAAGGTACTGTTAGTCTGTTCTTGCATTACTGTGAAGAAATATCTGAGGCTGGGTAGTTTATAAAGAAGAGGTTTAATTGGCTTAGGTTTCTGAAGGCTGTACAGGAAGCATGGCACTAGCATCTGCTCGCTTTTGGAGAGGCCTCAGGGAGCTTTTACTCATGGTGGGAAGGCAAAGGGGGAATAGGCGTCTCACATGGTGAGAACAGGAGCAAGGACTGGGGAGGTGCCACATACTTAAAACAACTAGATCTCTTGAAAACTTGCTCACTGTGGTGAGGACAGCACCAAGCCATGAAGGATCTGCCCCATGACCTAAACACCTCCCATCAGGCCCCACCTCCAACACTGGGGATTACATTTCAACATGAGATTTGGGTGGGGACAAATACCCAAACTATATCAGGTACCTGTTCCTTTTTGAAATTAGTAAGTAATCTGTGGGGTGATGCTTTGCAAGTGTGTGGGATATCCTGTTTCCAGCCTTTCGTCCAACAATTTTCTGCCCATTGATGATTCTTGATTTGTTTTTTCAGTTCTTCTATTGTGGTAAAATATATATAAAATAAAATTTGCCATTTAAGTCATTTTTAAGTATACAATTCATTGGCTTTAATTATAGTCACAATGTTGTGCAACCATCACCACTCTCCTTTTCCGGAACTTTTTCATCATTCCAAACTGAAACTGTACCCATCAAACAAAAATTCCCCCTTTCCCATATCTTTGGTCCTGTCAACTACTCCATTCTACTCTGTCTCTATGAATTTCACTACTCTAGGGACCTTATATAAGTGGAATCATAACAGTATTTGTCCTTTTGTAACTGGCTTATTTCACTTAACATAATACCTTCAAGGTTTATCCGTGTTATAGCATGTGTCAGAATTTCTTTCCTTTTTAAAGCTAAACAATAGTCCATTGTATGGATAGGCCACATTTATTCATCTGTTGATGGGCACTTGAGTTGTTTCTACCTTTTGGCTATTGTGAGTAATGCTGCTGTGAACAAGAGAGTGCAAATATCTCTTCAAGACCCTGCTTTCAATTCTTTTTTTTTTCTCATTTGGAGGCAGGTCTTGCCCTGTCACCCAGGCTGGGGTGCAGTGGCACAATCATAGCTCACTGTAACCTCAAACTCCTGTGCTCAAGTGATCCTCCTGCCTCAGCCTCCTGAGTAGCTGGGACTACAGCTGTGCACCACCATGCCCATCTAATAAAAAATAATTTGTAGAGAGAGGATCTTGCTGTGTTGCCCAGGCTGGTCTCAACCTCCTGGCAAGCGATCCTCCTGCCTTGGCCTCCCAAAGCGTTAGGATTATAGGCATGAGCCACTGTGCCTTGCCAATATATATATACGCACACACCCCCATAAGTAAAATTGTTGGATCATGGATTAATTTTGTTTTTAATATTTTAAGGAACTGCCTTACTGTTTTCTATAGCAGCTGCACCATTTTACATTCTTACCAGTTTCTCCACATCTTGGAGATGAGAGGTCCAGCTTCTCCACATCTTTGTCTCTGTCTCCATCTTCACATGGCATTCTTCCCTCTGTGTCTGTCTCTGTGTCCAGATTTTCCTCTTCAAAGGACACCAATTATATGACATTTAGGGCCCACCATAATACAGTATAACTTCATTTTAACTAATTACATCTGTAAAGAATGTAATTATCTATTTCCAATCAAGCTCACATTCTGCACATCATAGCTAACTCCAGCCTCCAATGGCTGGGCTCAAGCAGTCCTCCTTCCTCAGTTTCCCAAGTATCTGGGACTATAGGCATGCACCACCATGCCTGGCTAATTTTTTTATTTTTTAATAGGGACAGGGTCTTGCTATGTTGACCAGTCTGGTCTCAAACTATTGGCTTTAAGTGATTCTCCTGCCTTGGCCTCCTAAAGGGCTGGGATTACAAGTGTGAGCCACCGCACCCAGTCCTGTTAATTCTTCTTTAAATGTTTGGTAGAATTCACTACTGAAGCCATCTGGTTCTGGACTTTTCCTTGTTGGGAGGTTTTTGATTACTGACTTTGATTACTCTTGTTAAAGTCTTTTGAAATGTTCTATTTATTCTTGAGTTAGTTTAGGTAATTTGTGTGTTTCTAAGAATTAGTCTTTTTCGTCCAGGTTATCCAATTTGTTGGCATATATTTGTTTATAATGCTCCTTATGTCCTTTTTATTTCTGTAGAGTCATTAGTAATGTTCCTATTTTTATTTCTTATTTTAGGTATTTGTATTTGCTATCTTTTTCTTTGTCAGTCTTGCTAAAGGCTTGTCAATTTTGTTGATCTTTTAAAAGAACCAACTTTTGACTTCATTGATTATCTTTTGTTTTTCTATTCTCTGCTTCATTTATCTCCACTCTAATAATCTTTATTATTTCCTTCCTTTTGCCAGCTTTGGGTTTAGTTTACTCTTTTTCTAGTTCTTTAAGTTATAAACTTAGGTTATTAGTTTGAGATCTTTCTTGTAATGTAAAGATGTATGCTGTAAATTTCCCCTTGAGCACTGCTTTCCTTCTATCCCGTAAGTTTTGGTATGTTGTGTTTTTGTTTTCATCCATTTCAAGTTATATCCTAATTTCCTTTTCTGTTTTCTTCTTTGATAAATTGGTTGTTGAGTATGTGATTTCCACAATATTTGTGAATTTTTCAGTTTTCTTTCTCATTGATTTCTACCTTCATTCCATTGTGGTTGGAGAAGATACTTCTTATGATTTCTGTCTTCTAAATTTGTTGAAGCTTGTTTTGTGCCCAATATATGGTCTATGGGGAGTGTTCTACATATGTCTATTAAGTCTCATTGGTTTATAGTATTGTTCAAGTCCTCTGTTTTCTTATTAATCTGTCAAATTGTTGTGTTTATTATTGAGAATAGGGTATTGAAATCTTGAACTTTTAGAACTATTTGTCCCTTTTATTTTATGAACGTTTGCTTCCTATACTTTGGAGCTCTGTTTTTCAGTGCATGTATATTTATACTTGATATATCTTCTTGATGAATTGACCCTTTTATTAACGTATATCCTTTTTTGTTTCTTGTGACTATTTTGTACTTAAAGTCTACTTTATTTTGCATATTATTATAGCCACCCAGCTCTTTTAGTTATTTTGCATACTTTCAGTTCCAACCTATGTGCCTTTGGATCTAATGTAATTTTCTTGTAGACAGTTTATGTATCCATTCTGCCAATCTCTGCCTTTTGATTGGAGTGTTTAATACATTTACATTTAAAGTAATTATTGAGAAGGAAGGACTTTTGCCATTTTTGCTATTTGTATAGCTTTTATTGTCCCTCAGTCCTTCATTTCTGCCTTCTTTTGTATGTAGTTGATTTTTCTAATGTAGTTAACTGATTTGATTCCCTTCTGCTGTCTTCCTTTCCTTTCCTTTCTGCTTCTTCCTTTCCCCTTTCATCTTTCTCCTTTTTCTTTTCCCTTTTCCTTTCCTTTTTCCCTCTCCTTCCTTTCCTTCCCCTCCCCTCCCTTTCCCTCTTCTCCCTTTTTCCCCCTCTTCTCCCCTTTTTCCCCCTCTTCTCCCTCCCCCTCCTCTTTCAACAAGGTTGTGCTCTGTTGTCCAGGCTGCAGTACAGTGGCATGATCATAGCTCACTGTAATCTCAAACTTCTGGGCTCACACAAGCCTGCCTCAGCCTCCTAAGTACCTAGGCCTATAGGTGGTTGCCACCATGCCCAACTATTGTTTTTGTTTGTTTATTTGTTTGTATTTTTTTAAAGATGGGGTCTTGTTATGTTGTCCAGGCTAGTCTTGAACTCCTGGCCTCAAGTGATCCTCTTGCCTTGGCCTCCCGAAGTGCTGGGCTTACAAGCATGAAGTACCACACTCAGCCTCATTTCTTTTAGCGTATATTCTTCAGATACTTTCTTTGTGGTTACAATGGGGATTACAGTTAACATCCAAAATTTCTAACAATCCAGTGGAATTGATATCAGTTTAACTTAAAATCTCTGCCAATTCATGGAGACAGAAAGTAGAATAGAAGTTACCAGAGGCTATGGGAGAGGAAGTTGAGGAATTATGGTTTAACCAGTAAAGAGCTTTTGTGTGGGATGATGCAAAAGTTTTAGAAATGGATAGTGGTGGTAGTTACTCAGCATTTTGGATGTACATAATGCTGAAATTGTATGCTTTACAATGGTTAAAAATGGCATATTTTATTTATATTTTACCACAGAGAATAAAGCTAAAAACAACTAACTCTGCTTCTATATAGCTCTGCTCCCCTATTTATGTTATCGTCACAAATTATATTTTTATACATTGTGTCCCAATAATATAGATTTATAATTTTTTTGTTTTCTAGACAATTATATCATTTATTTAAAATGTTTACTCTAAGAAATATATATATACACACACATATATACACATACATACATACATACATGCATATATATATATATATATATATATAAATATATGAAATAATACAATTACAGCACTAAACCAGGCACCTTCAACCAAATCACAACCTTCTCTTTGATTCCCCTTCATGCTAATCATCTTTCAAATTCTTTGTCCTGAGCTGGAAGACCAGTCAGATGCCCACGGGGTCAGCACCAAGCACGTTCCCAGCTGGGCAACTGTGTACCTTTCTCTAGGAGTACAAGACGACCTTCCCCACAACTCCTTGTTTTAAAGGATTTAACCCATTCGGAAGTTCATTTTTTAATTTAAGCCAAAGGGAGGTGCGGGACAAGGCAGTCTTCACTTCGAAGGTCCCTTTCCTGCTCCACTCCCTGGCTAGGGTTCTAGAAGAGGCTGGCTGCCAGGTTTACATGAGGCTGCCGGAAGATCTAAGTGCAGCTCCGCCCAGGGCGGCTCCTGCAAAGGCTAGGACTTCGGGTGCTGCGTCCTCAACCCTCTGGGTGACCACAACTCAAAGGAGAGACGTCAAGGATTCCAGGAGCACAGATGCCTGGGTTGCGTTCCAGGAAAGAGACCTGTCCAGGCAAACGGATCAGGCTGTCTCCTGGAAGTTTGAGTTAGAGATGGTGGTTTTGGGGTGATTTGGACAAATTAGGTTAGTTTAGCAAAGCTCTGAAGTGGCAGAAGCTTCTCCCCTGGACTACTGATTGAACACAGAACACGAGATGCACGTGGCATCTCTAAGACTTAAGTCTTAGAGAGATGCAGGCCAGCTTCCTCCCATAGGGCCTTGGGACTGGCGGGACAGACACTGCTACGTGCCCTCCAAGGGCGGGAGTCACGGTAAGGAGTGACTGGGGTGGAAAATAGAGAAAAAAGCAACAACAACTAGATCATTTTTGGCATTTTAACATGGAGACAGTGACAAGTGGTAACAATAGCAAATGCAAACAACAACAACAAAAAAACTTGAAGAGACCAATATTTAACTTTCCCATCTACCCAGTTCTCACATTTAAGTTCTATTCTCATCTCCCCCATAAGCACCACTGAATTAAATATCTATTTTAAAGCACCCAAACCAGTCCAGACCCTCTGGAAACCAAGAGCCCTAGCCAGAGCTGTCGCCTCTCTTGGGTCCAGGTGAGAGGAGGGTTCCAGGAAAGGCACCTCATTACTCACTCAGCACAGCGAGCTCGGGCACAGGCACTTGACGGGGACACTGGTGGCAGTCACAGCATCCGTGCTGACACGCAAGGAAGGACATTCTTTGGTAATCTCAAATATTTGGTACCAGAGCCAAGCAAACGTGACTAAAGAGAGCTGAGTCAGCAGAACGGTACCCCGAGTCTCAGTAACAGGACGGCCTGTGCGACGCAGGATCCAGGTAGGGGAAAAAAGGAGACCAAAGCACAAGGTGATCAAGGCTGGTACAGAAAGGGCTGATCCTTCTTGCAAGGACTGGAGAATGCACTTGACTGCTGGCTGATCAATCTCTAATTGGTGAGTGCATGTGACAAGGCTCAGCCCTGGCTCCACAGGGAACCACCTCTGCCCCACCCCCAAGTCCCCATGGTTCCACCATCACCTGATTTTCATTTGGACTTCTTTAACAGCTAAAGTAGATATAAATGGCTAAACACAGACTCCCAATCCCCCTCCAGGGGGACACTGCAGATTATAGGCAGCCAAGGGGAGAAACAGAACCAACACCGGCTTAGGCCAATCTGCAAGAAAAAGCAGGAAAGGAGGACCCGGATGCTTCCAAAGCATGTGAGCGTGGTTTTGGATGGAAGCAGGCCGGTGACTTTGCCTGGCTGCTGCTGGTTCCTGTAAGGGACATTTTTTCTGATTAAATGGCGATTCCTCTTCTATGTAGCATCTGCTTGGATCATGATGGTAATCATAACTGGAAAGGGGTGTTTTGGGGAGTGTATTCAGGAGAGGAAGAAAGAAAAAACTTAAAAAAAAACCTAGATTGCTGAAAGTTTCTGCCTCTTGTAGGAATGGTAAGTCAACTATCAGCAAGTATTTTAATTCGACATTAAAGGGAAAAAAACGTACTTTGGAAAGCATACAGAACAAAAGGTAAATATTGGATCACTTGTAAAATGGAATCTTATGGAGTCTAAACAAAAATGCACCTTAGGTCAGCTTTTGCTTTTTTAAATACCTCGTTTGACTTCCCATCCCAGTGCACATGGAAGTGACAGCTGCCACGAGAGGTGTAGAGTCGGAGAAGTCTCTGGGAGCATCAAAGGGTTTGGCGGTTGTATTCTGGTAGTTTCTTGATCTTCTCTTTCTCGGTCTCACTTTTGTCTCTTGGTGTCACCAAAGAGTGTGAGTAGCCCATGGTGACCTCTGAGAAAATGCCATCCAGAGTCTTCACCTCCTGGGCTGCAGTGGAAGACTTGGGCTTGTGGTCCCTTAGCCCAGTTCCCCGAAGGTCGGTGATGGGCCCCAGCTATGGTGCTCTCTCGGTGGCCACAATGATGCTGCTCTTCCCACAAGCCAGGCTCTGGATTATCCAGCCACAGAGGTCCTGCACTGCTTTTGGGTATGTGGTAGATTCACGGGAGGTGTTGGTGGCCCCCTGGAAAAACAGACCACCCACTTCACTGATGGCAAAGGAGCAGGTGTAACCAGTATAGATCTGGGACACCCGATGTCCAGGGAAGTCAAACAGCTTCACCAGGTGGGGGACCATCTCATCCTGCTCTGCGTGGCCCAGCCGGCCATAGCCACTGAAGCCCCAGGAGAAGACTCACTTCTGGGAGTCCAGGACCAGTGTGTGGTTAGCGCCACAGGCTACGTCTCACACAGCTACATTTGGTACAGGCAGGATCTGCCTCAATGAAGATGGTCACTCAATGGGGAACCAGTCTGTAGTTGTACTCTGTCCGCCGTGCCCGGGCGATGAACTTCCCATCCGAGTTGTGTCCCAGCTGACCATATTCATGGCACCCAAAGGAATAGAGGTTTCCTTTGCAGTCCATTATCATACTGAATTCAGCCCCAAAGGCCATTTTGGTAATTGGCTGGCCATTGTATATTATCTGTGCGGGGCTGGGGATAGTGTCTGTCAGGTTGCCAAGGCCCAGCTGCCCCATCTTGTTCTCCCCAAACGCAAACACGGAGCCCATTTCCATCAAGGCCAAGGTGTAGTTCTGCCCACATGCTGCAGACATGATCACTTCGTGGCTGAGGCCCTCGATGAGTCTGGGGGCTCCTACTCTCTTGGTGTCACCATGTCCCAGCTGCCCTTTCTCATTCCTAGATTTCCAAAGAATCTTTCCTGACTTTTCCTCCCATGCCTGTTAGGTGCTCTCTTTTCTGTCCAGACCATGATTTTCCCACCAGGCACCTGTGTGTTGTTAGCTTACCCAAAGCATTTTCTATTTTTTATTTCTATTTATTTATTTTCAACATTTAGGTTCAGGGGTGCTTGTGAAGGTTTATTATATAGGTAAACTGCATGTCACAGGGGTTTGGTGTACTAATAATTTCATCACCCAGATAATTAGCCTAGTACCCAAAGGGTATTTTTTCTGATTCTCTCCGTCTTCCTACCTTCCACCCTCAAGTAGGCCCCAGTGTCTGTTATTCCCCTCCTAGTATCCAAGTGTTTTCATTGTTTAGCTCCCACTTGTAAGTGGGAACATGCAGCCTTTGGTTTACTGTTCCTGTGTTAGTTTGCTTAGGATAATGGCCTCCAGCTCCATCTATGTTGCCACAAAGGACACGATCTCATTCTTTTTTATGTCTGCATAGTATTCCATGGTGTACATGTACCACATTTTGTTTATCCAGTGTACCATGGATGAGTATTTAGGTTGATGCCATGTCTTTCCTATCGTGAATAGTGCTGCAGTGAACATATGTGATATGGTTTGGGTCTGTGTCCCCGCCCAAATCTCATGTCGAATTGTAATCCCCAGTGTTGGAGGTGGGGCCTAGTGGGCAGTGATTGGATCGTGGGGGTAGATTTCTCATGCATGGTTTAGCACCATCCCCTTAGTGCTGTTTGTGTGATAGTGAGTGAATTCTTGTGAGATCTGTTTATTTAAAAGTGTGTAGCACCTCCCCTAACCTCTCTCTCTCGCTCCTGCTTCTGCCCTGTAAGACAGCTGTTCCCCCTTTGCCTTACACCATGATTGGAAACTTCCTGAGGTCTCTGCAGAAGCAGAAGCCACTATGCTTCCTGTACAGCCATGCACAGGAAGAACTTGTTCTTCTTGTGTACCTTTTCATCCTGTGCAGCAGAACTGCGAGCCAGTTAAACCATTTTTCTTTATAAACTACCCAGTCTCAGGTATTTCTTTATAGCTGTGCAAGAACGGACTAATACAATATGCATGTGTGTGTCTTTATGGCAGAACAATTTATATTCCTTTGGGTATATACCCAATAATGAGATTGCTGGGTTGAATGATAGTTCAATTTTAAGTTCTTTGGGGAATCTCGCCACATTTTCCACAGAGGCTGAAGTAATTTACATTCCCACAGCAGTGTCTATAAGCATACCCTTTTCCCCACAACCTCGCCAACATCTATTATTTTTTGACTTTTTAATAATATTCTGACTGGTGTAAGATGGTATCTCATTTTGATTTTGATTTGCATTTCGTTAATGGTTAGTGATGTTGAGCATTTTTTCATATGCTCATTGGCTGCATGTATGTCCTTTGCCCACTTCTTAATGGGGTTATTTTTTTGCTTATTAATTTGCTTAAGTTTCTTGTAGATTCTAGGTATTAGACCTCTGTCAGATGTATAGCTTGCAAATATTTTCTCCCATTTTGTAGGTCGCACGTTTACTCTGTTGATAGTTTCATTTGCTCTGCAGAAGTTCTTTAGTTTAATTAGATTCCATTTGCCAATTTTTGTTTTTGTTGCAATTGCTTTTGGTGTCTTTGTTGCGAAATATTTGCCAAGTCCTATGTTCAGAATGGTATCTTCCAGTATTTTATGGTTCTAGGTTTTACATTTAAATATTTAATCCATCTTGAGTTGATTTTGTATGTATTGTAAGGTAGGGGTTCAGTATCACTCTTCTGCATATAGCTAGCCAGTTATCACAGCACCATTTATTGAATAGGGAGTCTTTTCCTCATTGCTGGTTTTGTCAAAGATTAGATGATTCTTAGGTATGTGGCATTACTTCTGGGTTCTCTATTCTGTTCCGTTGGTCTGTGTGTCTGTTTTTGTACCAATACTCTGCCGTTTTGTTTACTGTAGCCCTGTAGTATAGTTTGAAGTTGGGTAACATGATATCTCCCGCTTTGTTCTTTTTGCTTAGGATTGCCTGGGCTATTTGGGCTCTTTTTTTCTTTCATTTTTTTGAGATGGAGTCTCACTCTGTTGCCCACGCTAGAGTGCAGTGTTGCGATCTTGGCTCACTGCAACCTCTGCCTCCCAGTTCAAATGATTCTCCTGCCTCAGTCTCCCGAGTAGCTGGGATTACAGACCTGTGCCACCACTCCTGGCTAATTTTTTTTGTACTTTTAGTAGAGATGGGGTTTTGCCATGTTGGCCAGGCTAGTCTTGAACTCCTGACCTCAAGTGATCCACCCAGCTTGGCCTCCCAAAGTGCTGAGATTACAGGCATGAGCCACCATACCTGGCCCAGGCTCTTTTTTGAATATGAATTCAATATGAATTTTAAAATAGTTTTTCCTAATTCTGTGAAGAATATCATTGGTAATTTGATAGGAATAGCATTGAATCTGTAAATTGCTTTGTGCTGTATGGCCATTTTAATCATACTAGTTTTTTGTATCCGTGAGCATAGAATGTTTTTCCATTTGTTTGTGTCATCTCTGATTTCTTTGAGCCATGTTTTGTTTTGTTTTGTAATTCTCATTGTAGAGATTTTTTACCTCCTTGGTTACGTGTATTCTAAGGTATTTTATTCTTTTTGTGGCTATTGTGAATGGGATTGTGCTCTTGATTTGGCTCTTGGCTTGGATGTTTTTGGTGTATAGTAATGCTACTGATTTTTGTATGTTGCTTTTGTATCCTGAAACTGTGCTGAAGTTGTTTATCAGATCAGGGAGCTTTGGGCAGAGACTAGATATAAAATCATGTTGTCTGCAAATAGGGATAATTTGACTTCCTCTTTTCCTGTTTGGATGCTGTTTATTCTTTCTTTTGTCTGATTGCTCTGGCCAGGATTTCCAATAATATGTTGAATAGAAGTGATCAGAAAGGACATTCTTGTGTTGTGCCAGTTTTCAAGGGGAATGCTTCCAGCTTTTGCCCATACAATATGATACTGGATGTGGATTTGTCATAGATAGCTCTTATTTTCAAGTATGCTCCTTCAATGCCTAACTTATTGAGGGTTTTTAACATGAAGGGATGTTGAATTTTATAGGAAACCTTTTCTGCATCTATTGAGATGGTCATGTGGTTTTGTTTTTAGTTCAGTGAATGGGTTGAACCACATTTATTGATATGCGTATGTTGAACCAACCTTGCATCCCAGGGATAAAGCCTACTTGATCATGGTGGATTAGCTTTTCTGTGTGCTACTGGATTTGGTTTGCTGGTATTTTGTTTAGGATTCTTGCATCTGTGTTTATCAAGGATATTGGGCTGAAGCTTTCTCTTTTTGTTGTGTCTCTGCCAGGTTTTTGGTATCAGGATGATGCTGGCCTCATTGAATGAGTTGTGGAGAAGTCCCTCCTCCTCAATTTTTTGAAATAGTTTCAGTAGGAATGGTACCAACTATTCTTTATAAATCTGGTAGAATTCAGCTGTGAATCCATTTGGTCTTGTGCTTTTTTTGGTTGGTAGGGTTTTTATTGCTAATTCAATTCTGGAACTTGTTATTGGTCTGTTGAGGGATTTAATTTCTTTCTGGTTTAGTCCTGGGAGGTTGTATGTGTCCAGGAATTTATCCACTTCTTCTAGATTTTCTAGTTTCTTTGCATAGAGTTGTTCGTAGTAGTCTCTGATGATTTTCTCTATTTCTGTGGGGTCAGTGGTAATGTACCCTTTATTATTTCTTTTTTTCTTTTTCCTTTTCTTTTTTTTTTTTTTGAGATGGAGTCTTGCTCTGTCGCCAGATTGGAGTGCAGTGGCGCAATCTCGGCTCACTGCAACCTCCGCCTCCCAGGTTCAGGCAATTCCCCTGCCTCAGCCTCCTGAGTAGCTGGGACTACAGGCATGTACCACCACGCCCGGCTAATTTTTTGTATTTTAGTATAGACGGGGTTTCACCATATTGACCAGGATGGTCTTGATCTCCTGACCTCGTGATCTTGATCCGCCCACCTCGGCCTCCCAAAGTACTGGGCTTACAGGCATGAACCACCACGCCTGGCCCCCTAAAGGGGGGTTCTCCTCTCTTATTTTCTTTGTTAGTCTAACTAGTGGTCTATCTTATTTATTTTTTCAAATAACCAACTCCTGGGTTTGTTGATATTTCGTATGGTTTTTAATGTCTCAATTTCTTTCAATTCAGCTCTGATTTAGGTTATTTTTTGTCTTCCAGCTTTGGGGCTATTTTGCTCTTGCTTCTCTGGTTCTTCTAGTTGTGATTTAGGTTGTTAATTGGGGATCTTTCTAAGTTTTTGATGTGGGTATCTAGTGCTATAAACCGCCCTCTTAACACTGCCTTAGCTATGTCCTGAGAGATTCTGGTATGTTGTATCTTTGTTCTCATTAGTTTCAAATAATTACTTGTTTTCTTCCTTAATTTCATTACTTACCCAAAAGTCATTCTGTATGTGCCATGTGGCAATATGAAGTTGTTTTTGGGTGGAGAGTTCTGTAGATGTATATTAGGTCCATTTGGTCAAGTGTTGAGTCCAGGTCTTGAGTATCTTTGTTAATTGTCTGCCTCAGTGGTCTCTCTAATACTGTCATGGGGTGTTGAAATCTACACCTACTATTATGTAGGAATGTTAGTCTCTTCATAGGTTTTTTGTTTTTTTGAGATAGAGTCTTGCTTTGTCACCCAGGCTGGAGTGTAGTGGCGCAATCTCGGCTCACTGCAAGCTCCGCCTCCTGGGTTCACGCCATTCTCCTGCCTCAGCCTCCCGAGTAGCTGGGACTACAGGTGCCCGCAACCACGCCTGGCTGATTTTTTGTATTTTTAGTAGAGGCAGGGTTTCACCATGTTAGCCAGGATGGTCTTGATCTCCTGACCTCGTCCGCCTGCTTCAGCCTCCCAAAGTGCTGGAATTACAGGCGTGATCATAGGTCTTTAAGAACTTCCCTTATGAACCTGGGTGCTCCTGTGTTGGGTATATATACATTTAGGATAGTTAGGTCTTCGTGTTAAATTGAACTCTTTACCATTGTGTAACGCCCTTTGTCTTTTTTATCTTTGTTGGTTTAAAGTCTGTTTTCTCTTAGATTAGGATTACAACTCCTGCTATTTTTTGTTTTCCATTTGCTTGGTAGATTTTTCTGTATTCCTTTATTTTGAGCCTGTGGATGTCATTGCATGTGAGATGGGTCTCTTGAAGACAGCATACCATTGGGTCTTCTTTATCCAGCTTGCCACTCTGTGCCTTTCAATGGGGTATTTAGCCCAATTATGTTCAAGGTTAGTATTGATATGTGTGAATTTGAACTTGTCATCATGTTATTAGCTGTTTATTCAGATTTGTTTGTGTGGTTGCTTCATAGTGTCACTGGTCTATGTACTTTGGTGTGTTTTTGTAGTGGCCAGTAATAGTCTTTCCTTTCAATATTTGGTGCTCCTTTCAGGACCTCTGGTAAGGCAGTTCTAGTGGTAATGAATTCCCTCAGCATTTGCTTGTCGGAAAAGGATCTTATTTCTCCTTTACTTATGAAGCTTAGTTTGGCTGGATATGAAATTCTTGGTTAGACTTTTTTTTTTTCTTAAAGAATGCTGAATATAGGGCCCCAATCTCTTCTGGCTTGCAGGGTTTCTGTAGAAAGATCTGCTGCTAGCCTGATGGGGTTCCCTTTGTAGGTGACCTGCCCTTTCTCTCTAACTGCATTTAACATTTTGACCTTGGAGAATCTGATGATTATATGTCTTGGGGATGGTCTTCTTGTGTAATGTCTTGCAGGTGTTTTCTCCCTGCAGTATTTTCAAGTAATACCTGCCCTTTTCCAGCCTTAGTTCTGAATTAGGTGAAAGGGAGAAGTGCTTTGCATCAGTCCTTCAGGCAGCCGTCAGACAGGTTAGAACAGATGCACACAATAATTTACGAGTAATACCTGCCGTGCTCCCTGTGGAACCAAGGACCAGAGTCTCACGTTGGGAATGTGGCTACAACTGAGCCATGACAGCGATAGGGCAAAGGCAAGTAAAAACACCAGAAAGTTTTCCTACTGTTCTCAAGTGGCCTTTTTCTTTATTCAGCATTCTCTTGCTTGTTTTAAACTTTGGACTATTTTTCAGAGCTTTGAGAAAGTTGGTTCTGACAGTTTCTGCTTTTCTTTTTTTTTTTTTTTTTTTTTTTTGAGACAGAGCGTCAGAGTCGCCTAGGCGAAGTGCAGTGGCACGATCTTGGCTCACTGCAACCTCTGCCTCCCAGGTTCAAGCAATTCTCCTGTCTCATCCTTCCAAGTAGCTGGGATTACAGGCACACACTGTCATGCCCAGCTAATTTTTTGTATTTTAGTAGAGATGGGGTTTCACTATGTTGCCCAGGCTGGTCTTGAACACCTCAGCTCAGGCAATCCTCCTGCCTCGGCCTCCCAAAGTGCTGGGATTATAGGTGTGAGCCACTGTGCCCAGCCTCTGCATATTTTTCTATGTTTCTGTGGGAGGATGAGAGCTTGGAGCTGCCTGTCCCACCATTTTTCTCTTCTTTGATGATTCTTGTCTGAATCACTATGCTAGTGGTTATAAAATGATGATTTTATATTTCTGTAATGTCTTCTATATTTACTAGTTGGCATTCTATTTAAGAGTTTTATTTCCTGTTTATTAGTACTGATATGATTCAGATATTTTAATAGCATATTTTAAAATATAACTTATTGAGGTTTAATGTATACACAATAAAATTCACACGTTAAGTGCTCAGGTTGGTGATTTTGCTGAGTGTAACATGTAACAACCATATAATAACCACCTCAGTCAAGATACAGAGACTGTTCAGCTTCCCAAAAAGTTCTCTTATGCCCTTTTGCAAAGGCTTTCTTAAAACATTTTTTGGAAATTACAGATTTACAGGAAGTTGTAAGGATAGTAGAGAGAGGGCCCATGTATCCTTCATCATATTTCCCTCAGAAGTTATATCTTGTGTAAATATCATACGATATCAAAACCAAAAAGTTGGCATTGGTACAATGTATATGTGTAGTTCCATGTCACTTTATTACTTGTAAATTCCTGGAACCACGACTTCGTGCTCCCCACTAGGCCTTTCTCTGATACCACCCTGGCTGGGATGGGGAAGGGCACCTGCTTACTGCTCCCCAAGTGATCTCCACCGACAGGGAAGGCCTCACCACGCTTGGGTGGTAGTCAGAGCTCCACCACCCTTGCTCTTCTCTGACACCCTGGCAGGGAAGGTGGGTTGAGGCATCTTGTTTTGTGAGGGTGGAAGTCCAGGGTCTCCAGTTGGCCTTTGCTGGTGAGGGTGGCAGTGCAGCTATTTCTGTGGTGTTAGGCTGGAGCAGTGTACTTGTTATCTAAAAGTTTACTGTCTAAATTTGACTGTCTTGCTAAGCTGCTTCTTTCCTGGTCCTTTGGCTAGAAAGAGCTGGCTTTTCTGGGGGGCTTTCCTGGTTTATTCCCATTGGCATCCCCTCCAGCACCCAGTCTGAGATAATGAGGCAAGAAGAAAACTCAGGGAATCCACTGTCCTATCATTCTGGGTCCTGAGGCTCCTAGCCACACTGCCGTCTTGTATCTGCTTTTTAGAACCTTTTTATATCTGCTTTGTGTATGTGATGTCCAGGGTTTTTAGCTATATTTGCAGAGGCAATAGGAAGAAGTGAATCTACTCTTGCAGTGTCTTATTTTTTGACCTAAATTTCAAAGATTTGGTTCACATTATCATCAGATTTTCCTCCATAAGACAGTAATTCCAGTTTACGTTCCTACCAGCAGTGTCTGAGAGTGCCTGTGGCCAGCACTGAGTCCTAGCATCCTTTTCCATCTTGTTGATCTGACAGACAGAAATGTGTGTCAGTGGTATTAATTTTTGTTTCTTTGGTTTCAAATAGAGATTGAATATTTTTCATATATTTATGGGCCTGATTTTTCCCTCTCTTATGAATTGCCTCTTCATGTCCCGAGAGAGAATTTAAAATAGAAAGTGAGGAGTAATATGTTGCTGTATCAGTTAAGGCCCAGCCAGGAGAAACTACAGCAATTATTGGAGCAGAGAATTTGATTTCAAAAGTCAGTAACTGGGTACAAGGTTATTAACTAGGTTATTGAAAGGGTAAAAGGGAACATTAAAGTATTACGGAGTTAGCAACCGCAAGCAGCAGCTACCACCAGCTGTAGGGCTGAAGAATCAAAGGGAAGATGTCACAGTTACTAAAACTCTAGAGGTTAAGGAAAGTCCCCATGTAACTCAGAGCTTCATGGAGGGGCACCTCATGGCTGAGACTTTTATCTTCAAGGGTGAGGTATGATGAAGTTGCTTCTGCGGGTTTTGGAAAAACTGCAGGCTCAAATCAGCGGCTGCTCCAGGGCAGAACTGTTCCGGTAAAGGAACCCTGCTGGGGTCATGTTCCTCAGAACAAGAAGGGAGAGGAAGCACACTGGGTGCAGGTGCGGATTTCCTGTAGCACTCCCTATTGGAGAGACTTTCATGGAGCCACATCGCCACACAGGAGTGGGATTCGCTGAGTGCCAGCCAGGCCCAGCATCACGGAGACCAGTGTGGAAGGTGAGCTGGGATCTGAAGTGGAAGAATATGATGATCGGCTCAGCTACCATTCCCTTAGTAGGTGTTGCCTTGGGGTGAATGTGGAGTGGGAAACATGAATTGGCTGTGCTTCTGGTTGTCTTGGGTCTTCTTTAATAATTTCTCTGTTAATAGTTTGAGCATCTTGCTACAGTGCGTTTTAGTGTGAACATTGTTTTTGGTACAACATGGCTCCTAAATTATATTTTGCATATGGATGCTATCCTGGGTACTCTATGTCACTGCCTTTGTAGTATCATACAGAATTGGATATAAAGTTGTATATATGTACTTCACAGGGGAGACAGGGTGTTTCAAGAAGAGTTCTGATTATGTCTGATGCTCTCTTTACTTTAGATCCTAATCTGCCTTACATTCTCTCAGCTCAGTAAAGTGAGGCTTCAGTTATATTCCAGTCAAGCTAGAGATCACCACCTGTGACCAGTCCTGCACACATCCCTCTTCTGACTTCCCTGTTTTTTGTCCTGTTTGGATCGATTCTGAATTCCTAAGGATTGGGACCATGTTTATCTTAGGCATAGGACCTTGAGGGCACTTAGTAGTTGCTCAACAAATATTTGTCAAATATTGATAGCAACAACAGCAATCATATTTACTTTACATATAATCATTTAATTCTCATATCAACTCTGAGTAGTTGTTACCATATTCAATTCTGAGGTGAATTTTTTTCTTATAACATCTTTGAATTAGGGATACATTTTATAACCAGTGACATAACCAACATCATTTTTTTTCTTAGTGGTAATGGAATAATGGTTCATGTTATAATCGATGGTGTCTTAGATTCAATTACATATGGTGTTATTCCCACTTTATAGGAAACTGGGACACAAAGAGGCAAAGTGACTTGCCCCAGGCCACACTTCTAGAAAGTGCCAGAGCTGTAGGTGAAGACCTGGCCTCTAGTTTCAGGGTCTTCCTCTTCATTATTGCCTCCCTGCCGCTCTATGCCTTTGAGCCAGCCCACCTGTCTCAGTCTCTTCCACCCTCTGTGTCTAGCTCAGACTTCACCTGCCACACCAGCCATTCTCGTCCCATGCTACTCTGCCAGTCAGCTGTCATTTCTTCTCCCCTCCCTTGAAACCCATAGCATTTCTTTATAATACTTATTTTACCTGGTTTTCTATGTTTTTATTTAATGGATTTGTCTTTTCCAAGGTATTCAGACTTCAAATCAGCTTGTAAGGTAGAAATCATACATGGTCAAAACTACCCAGGCATACATTTTAGGAAGGAAGACTGGTTAGGTTTGGGTTTGCAGTTCAGTACACTCAGTTTTTTTCTTCTACATTAGGCAAATCACTATTTCAGCATCAGATCAGCCCCAGATCATTAGTTACCAAATCAATAGTTATTTCAGCACCAAATCAGAACCACGTGAAATAGCCGCTTGTGTTTTGGGGCCATGTTACAGAAAAAATGCTAATCTTCAACATTGGATGAGCTTGTTAAGTGTAACAAGATACCCTCTAGGAGACACACAGAAATGAGGCAGACTGCAGGAGGCACCTCTTCTGCTTAGATAAGCACTGCCACACTGCATACTTCCCACTCCATACTTCCCACTCTGGGGCTCAGCCTGCATGGCCATAGGTGGCAGCCCTGTAGCAGGCACGTTGAGCTCCTTTCCAAGGCATTTGCTCATTGAGAGGAATGGCAATTGTTCTCCATTTTCAAAGCTTAAAGAAAACTGGTTTTATTTTAACAGCTTTATTAAGATATAATTCACTTACCATATGTCTCCCATTCAAAGTATCTAACTCAATTATTTTTAGTATATTCATAGAGTTGTACAACCATCACCACAGTCAATTTTAGAACATTTTTGTCACTCCCAAAAGAAACTCTCTACCCATTAGCAGTCACTCCCTATTTCCCACAACCCTTAGTCCCAGGCAACATCTAATCAACTTTGTCTCTATGGATTTTTGTGTGTTCTGAACATGCCATATAAATGGAATCATAGAATATGTGGTCTTTGTGACTAGCTTCTCATTTAGCATAATGTGTTCAAGATTCACCTATGCTGTAGCATGTATTAGTACTTCATTTCCTTCTACCACCAATATTCCATTGTATGGCCATATCACATTTTATATATCCATTAACCAGTTGATGGATATTTGGGCTGTTTCCACTTTTTTAGCTACTATGAATAGTGCTGCTGTAAACATTTGTCTACAAGTTTTTCTGTGGATATGTTTTTATTCCTGTTGGTTATATACTTTGCAATGGAATGGTTGGATCAAATAGTAACTCTATGTTTAACTTTCTGAGGAATGTTGGGACTGTTTTCCAAAGTGGCTGCCAGCACCATTTTACATTCGCACTAGCAATGTGTGAGGGTTCCAGTTTCTCCACATCTTCACCAACGCTTGTCTTTTTGAGTATAGGCATCCTAGTGGATGTGATGTGGTATCTCATTGTGGTTACGATTTGCATTTCTTAATGGCTAATGATGTTGAATATCTTTTCATGTGCTTATTGGCTATTTATATATCTTTTTTGGAGAAATGTCTATTCAGATCCTTTGTCCATTTTTAATTGGATTATTTGTCTTTTTGCTGTTGAGCTGAAGGAGGTTTTTTTGATATGTTCTGGATAGTAATCCTTTGAGATAATGATTTACAAAAATTTTCTCACATTTCCTGGGTTTCTTTTCACTTACTTGATAGTGTCCTTTGAAGCACAAAAGTTTTCAGTGTTTTTTGAAGACAGGGTCTTGCCCTGTTGCCCAGTTGGAGTGCAGTGGTGTAATCATAGCTCACTGCAGGCAGCCTTGAACTCCTGGGCTCAACCAGTTCTCCCACCTCAGCCTCCTGAGTAGCTGGAACTACAGCCATGTGCCACCACGCCTGGCTCATTAAATTTTTTTTTTTTTTTTTTTTGGTAGAGAGAGGGTCTCACTATGTTGCCTAGGCTGGTCTTGAACTTCTGGGCTCAGGCAATGCCTCCCAAAGGATTACAGACATGAGCCACTACACCAGGCCAAAAGTTTTAAATTTTGATGAAGTCCAGTTTACCTACTTTTTATTATTTGTTTATTTAAGTAAGTTTTGGGATTATAGGCATGAACCACTGTGCCTGGTAATTTTTCTTTATTGCTGGTACTTTTATTGTCACCTCTAGTAAGATTTTGCCTAACCCAAGGTCCTGAAGACTTACACCTATGATTCTTCTAAGAATTTTGTAGTTTTAGGCCGGGTGCAGTGCCTCACGCCTGTAATCCGAGCACTTTGGAACACCAAGGCAGGTGGATCACGAGGTCAGGAGTTTGAGACCAGCCTGACCAACATAGTGAAACCCTGTTTCCACTAAAAATACAAAAATTAGCTGGGCATGGTGGCGCGTGCCTGTACTCCCAGCTACTCAGGAGGCTGAGGCAGGAGAATCACTTGAACTTGGGAAGTGGAGGTTGCGGTAAGCCGAGATCGCTCCACTGCACTCCATCCTGGCAACAGAGCGAGACTCCATCTCAAAAAAAAAAAAAAAAAAAAAAGAATTTTATAGTTTTAGCTCTTATATTTAGGTCTGTGATGTCTTTGGAGTTAATTTTTATGTAAGGTGTAAGACAGAGGTCTAAATCCATTATTCACAAACAAAACTCTGGATATCCAGTTGTCCCAGCACTATTTGTTGAAAAGACTAGTCTTTCCCCATTGAGTTGTCCTGGCATGCTTGTTGAAAGTAAAAATATTTAGTTTTTGCCAAGCATATATAGTTGATTTCATAATAGATAAATACAGATATTAAGCACCTCTGTTGTATGTCTTATCTGCCCTATTAAGGTTATAAACTCCTTAGGGCAAGAAAAAGTCATGTCCTATTTATCTTTACTTCTCTTTAGCATCCAGCTCAGTATCTACTATATACTGGTCTTGTGAGTGCATCAGAGCCAGCTGTAGAGACTTAATCAATGAAAATGTGAGAGAATATTCCTTTTGGTCAGTTAAGTGTGTTCCAGATCCTGCCAATGAGCTTATATCACTAATACTGTAGTAAGCAAATCGTATAGTGATTTACCTTCTGTGTATTTAAAAAACAAAGTCTCAGTGTGATGCATCTGTGTTTGTCACACTAATCATCCCTTTTAATGGAGAGCTCCTATCAGGCACGTAAGCTTGGGTCTAGCCATCCAGAATTTAAGAATGGTTTGTCTTCAAGTGTTTTCATCACTTGGATAATGAAAGTTAGGGAAACACCTAAGGGAGGGTTTCTCCCACCTTTTGTTTTTAGTTTTTTCTATTAATTTCCTTCATTTGTGGTTTTATTTTTGAACAGATAATACATTGACATGATTCAAAAGTCCAAAGGTATCCAATAAAAAGGCTCCATCACTCCAATCTTCCAGCCGCCTGGCTCCCTGCCTTGGGTAAGAGTTGTTATTGATTTCTTCTGTGTTCGTCCAGAGGTAGCTGATGCATATACAAAATAGTATTTTCTGTACTTTCTTTTCCCTGTTTAATCTTCCCCCCTTTTATTACACAGATGGCCCCTTATCTTCGCCTGATTCTCCCTTGCTTTGGAGGGTCATCTTCTTGATTCTGGCTTGCCTGTCTAGACTTGCAGTGGCCTTGATGGCCCGCTTGCTAAGATCCTTGGTCATCCTACCTCTGTGGTGCTGTTTCAGGCCTTTGGATTAATTAGCAAGGTGTGTGAAGAGGCTGTGCTTCAGGGTAATGCTGCTGTGTGTGGACTGCTTTTGGCCTCAAGGGACAGAACACCCAACTATCAGAGGCTTAACAGCCCAACCATGTATTATCTTCCTGCACAAGAAGACTGCAGGCAGACGAATGCTGATATAGTGTGCTATTCCACCTGTGTCTGAGCAGATGGTGGCTTCCCCACAGTTCTGTGGCCTTTTCCCTCATGGTCACAAGGCATCCAGTCCTCACATCAGCACCTCAAGCAGGAAAGACACTTCTCCAGCCACTTTTGCACATGTCTCATTGGCTGGAGCTGAGACCTGTGACCATCTCAGACCCACCACTGTAAAGGACAGTAGGATTACCATGGTTTCACTAGATTGGGCACAGCTTCCCCTGAGGCTGCCAGAAGAGCCTGCCTTTCCTGAGATCAGAGGCATGAAGTAAATGCCTACAAAACTAGGACTCCACTGGCATGAAGGAAGGTAGGAGCTTTAGAGGGGAGTGGCTGCTAGGGCGCCAATGAACAGTGTCTACCCCAGGATCTTTATAGTCAAGACGGTGGAAGAGGCCAAGACAGACATACACGCACAGAGGTCTCAGACCAGCAGGGCCATTTCTAGCACAAGAGTTAGAAGCAGTAATACTCTAATTTGGCCTGAGGCAGTGGTAGCATTGAAGTGACAATATTCATTCTTGCCTGGTTTCATGAAGTAGAACTAGATCCCTGAAGTTTTTTCTTTAAGGGATTTTCTCCTGGAAATGCATCCTCTAGGAGAACACTTAGTTGCAATCTGCTTGTTAGAAGACAGAGATGCATCTGCTGGCCTCCTGCCTTGTGTATGGTTTTGGAGTCCAGTTGAGCAGCTGGGCATCAGGCGAGGGGTCAGGACTGGAGCAAGGGCTGCCTTCAGTCTGTAGAAAGATGCTGATCTGGAGAAGATGCTGCTGGCAGCCCTGCTTTCAGAGCCAGATGCCAGTGTTCTGCGCCCATGCTGAGAGGCCTGCATTATCCCGGTACCCAGCCCATTTCATCCATCTGCCTTTCATTCTTGCCATTCCCTCCTTCTTTATCCTTGTCTCTCTCAACTTCATTTTCCCACTCTCTTTTTTAGCCTCTTGGAGCTGAGATCCAGAGGCCCAAAGTCTTTTTCTTTTCTTGCAGCAAACAGTATTAGGAAGCCCTTGTCTTTGCCAGCAGTGAAGGGGAAAAGCCTCTTCTTGGAGGGTGGAGATTAGGGGAGGGTCTGGGAGTGTCACACGAGAAATGAGAAACAGATGTAAGATCTGCGGCTGAGCCCAGTCAGAGGAGTTGGCGGGTGGGGAGAGGGAAAAGAAGACTGGAATTTGGTGGTGGTAGTCATTCGTGTGTTTAATACTTTTGTGGCTTTACTGGTGTTCATGAAGCAAACTGCTCCCAGCAAGGCAGTGAACAACAAGCCAATGATTAATTGCCCTTTCTAAATTGTAATTATGTCACTCACCAGAACCCGTGAACATTAATTCTCGATTTACATAGTGAGTAATTGAATAATGAAGGGGCTGCCTGTTTGTTGTGCTCTGTTCTTACTCTTGCATTTCTACAGTGCCAGGCCCTTCTGTCTCTCCTAGTCTTTGGATGTTGCCCACTTCCCTGTTGGTTTTAGTGTCTGTTCTGGCCTCTGACTGCGAGCTGTCTGACATTACATTTCATTGACGGTTGAGTAAGGCCCAGGCCGATGTCATACGCTTTAGAGAAAGGAGGCCAGCCGTTTCTGATTCCAATCCGATGCTGCCTTTCATTAAATTTCTTCAATGAAAGCCTGCTCTGCCTAACTCAAGCAAAATGATGTGAATTTACTACAAGGATACAGGGAAGCTCACAGAAGCAAAGGGAAAGTTGAAGAAGCAGGCCTTAGAAGAAGAGAGCTAGACTCAGGGTCCAAGGTGGGGGCATCAGTAGGCAGGTCCTCCCGCAGACACCACTCTAGAATGAATCAGCTCCAGCGTTTCCAGTCTGCCATCTCATACTTGATTGCTTCAAATTCCTGAGCAAGTCACACCCTTGGCAGTGGAGGGTGGAGCACTTCGACTGTCTTGCCAGGAATCAGGAATGCACACATTGTGGGAGGAAACAGTCATTCTTCCCTCCACCCCCAAAACACACATAATCAACAGGCTTTTACCAGAAGGGGGAATGGATGCTGGGCAGGCAGATGATTTTTGTATATGGTGTAAGGTAGGGGTTCAGTATCAATCTTTTGCATATGGCTGGTCAGTTAGTCCAGCACCATTTATTGAATAGGGAGTCATTTCCCCACTGATTATTAACTATAGTCACCATTCTGTACATTAGATATCCAGAACTAAATTCATCTTATATGTGAAAGTTTGTACTCTTTGACCTACCTCTCCCCTACCCCATAGCCTCTGGCATCCACCCTTTGTTTCTCTAAGTTCTACATATAAGTGAGATCATGTAGCATTTGTCTTTCTGTGACTGGCTTATTTCACCTAGCATAATGTCATGTGATCATCTCAATAGCTGTAGAAAGCATTTGACAAAATTCAACATCCTTTCATGATAAAAATCGTCAGCATTCATATAGAAGAAATGTTCCTCAGTATACAAAGGCTACATATGACAAGCCCACAGCTAATGTTATACTGAACAGTGAAAGACTGAAAGCTTTTTCTGTAAGATCAGAAACAAGGGTGCCCACTCTTGCCACTTCTATTCAACACAGGGCTCGAAGTCCTAGCCAGAGCAGTCAGGCAAGAAAATGAAATAGAAAGCATCCAAATCAGAAAAGAAGTTAAGTTGTCTCTGTTTGCAAATGAAGTGGTCTTATATATAGAAGTTCCTAAAAACTTCACCAAAAAACTGTTAGAACTGTAAAATTGCAGGATGCAATATCAACATAGAAATATCAATTGCATTTCTATATACTAATAATGACCTATCTGAAAAAGAAATTAAGAAAACAATCCCATTTACATAGCATCAACTTTAGGTTTTGAGATGTTTTTCCATTAGTGAGGCTACTTGGTTTGGAGCCTCAGAGGCCTTTTTGATCAGCAGCTGTGATCTGTAAGGTAGAGGGCTGTGTGAGAGGTGCAGCTTGGGGCCATGATCAGGCATGCAGGCCTGCCATTTTACGTGGTGGGAGGGGGGTCTGGTACAAACTGGGATTAAATTCATGAGATTGTCCTTGTTAAGGAACTTGGATCAGAAAGAGATAAGTAATTCAATACTTTTGGGGGAGGGTAAGAGGGCACTCTTAATATGAATGGGGAGAATCTGTTTGAACCTTTTTTTGTATCCCCACTGCACTCATTTTTCTGTTGACCTCTCCTGGAGACACTATGTCTTGTACATGGAGAACTCTTGACAGCTGCCTGCAGGTAGCTTTCTGTGAGAGTCAGTAGATGTGCTTGCCACAAATAGGATGGGCAGGAATCTATTTCACACTCCCCACCGCCTCATGGTTTTCTTTTCCTCAGTGGTGCCCATCTTTATTCTCCATAAGAAACCCAGGCTTCTATCAAGATCTTGAACAACAAAAGTTTTCTCTGACCACAGTTCCACTGTTTTGCTCTTCGTGCTCTCTTTCCTATTGAACTTTCTCTTTCCTTTCAATGCATTCTGAAAACTTCCCTGTTCTCAGCCCAGCAGCCTCTTCCTGTTTCCTTTGTCTTCCCACCCAGGGCAGACCCCCTTGTCAGCCATTGTGGATGTCACTCTCCTCCTGCTAGCACTCATTATACATAATACCTGCCCCCACTGCCTTGCTGCTGCTTTCTGCCCCCAACTGTGGAATGTGGCTGGAGAAAGCTTTGGTGCTAATTTGTAGACTACCTGGTGTACTCCACACAGAGCTGCCCAGCCTCAGTGCTGCTCAGCAACAGCACCGTCCCACCCTCACTCATGCCCCATATAATTTTCCCACAGAAACTTTTCACACCTTTCCCTGTTCAGGCATCCCCCAGTGTCAGCAGATACCACTGCCTCTCAGTTCATGGAAGAAAAAAGGGGCCAAATAATCTGACCCCTCCTCCCCCAGTTTCACGCTTTCACATTAGTGCCTGTCTCTTCACTCACTATTTTCCTTTCATACTTGTGATCCTCACTGGATTTTGAGAGGTTTTTTTGGACTTTTATATACCAATTGTCATTCCTTTTGCTTGTGTTTTTCATTTTCCCCTCCCTATTGATTCCTTTTCCTTAGCTTATATATTTTCCCAGAATTTCCAAAGTACTTTATGTATTTATTTTTCCTGCTTCTAGTGGTTTAGAAGCTGTGTATTCTTCTATTCTCCTTGTGATTATACTTATATATTTACAAAAATGTTTAATTCCCATGTTTCCTTCATCCAGTTTTTCTCCAGTAATGTCATCTTGCACAACTTGCACGGCCATAGTACAGAGTTTCTCAGCCTCAGCTCTGGTGACATCTTGGGTTGGATGCTTCTTTGTTGTGTGGCTGGCGGGTGGTGACTGTCCTTTTCATTATAGAAAGTTTAGCAGAATCCCTGGCCTCTACTCACTAGATGCCAATAACACTTTTCTAGGTGTGCCAACCAAAACAATCTCCAGATGTTTCCATATCTCCCGTGGGCAGCAAAGTCACCCTGGGGCAGGGGGCAAAATCACCCTAGTTGGAAACTGCTTTGTGTTAGTTTTCTATTACTGCTGTAACAGATTACCAGTTAGTGGCTTCAAACACATGAACATTTTATCTTCTAGCTCTCAGAAGTCTGACAGTCACTCTTGCTCCCATAGTCAAGGGAGAGCATAACACAGTGATGTGAATACCAGAAGGGGATCTTTGGGAGCTGCTTGCCACAAATGTTGTACATTTCCCTCTGAGCTGTGCTTTAGGTACAGCTCATAGTTTGTTTTTAAATTGTAAAATTTACATAATATAAAATTAACCATCTTAAACATTTTAAAGTATACATTAACTAGCATTAAGTACATTTACCATGTTTTACAGCCGTATCACTATGCATTTCCAGATTTTTTCATCATTGCAGACTCTATCCATTAAATAATAACTGTCCCCAATTAAATAATAAATGTCCCAATTTTTCCTCCCCCCAGCCCCTGGTAATTTCTACTTTGTTTCTTTTATACATATATATAAGTAGATATTTATCATACTTTAAGTTCTAGGGTACATGTGCACAACGTGCAGGTTTGTTACATATGTATACATGTGCCATGTTGGTGTGCTGCACCCATAAACTTGTCATTTACATTAGGTATATCTCCTAATGCTATCCCTTCCCTCTTCCCCCACCCCACAACAGGCCCCAGTGTGTGATGTTCCCCTTCCTGTGTCCAAGTGTTCTCATTGTTCAGTTCCCACCTATGAGTGAGAACATGCGGTGTTTGGTTTTTTGTTCTTGTGATAGTTTGCTGAGAATGATGGTTTCCAGCTTCATCCATGTCCCTATAAAGGACATGAATTCATCATTTTTTATGGCTGCATAGTATTCCATGGTGTATATGTGCCACATTTTCTTAATCCAGTCTATCATTGTTGGACATTTGAGTTGGTTCCAAGTCTTTGCTATTGTGAATGGTGCCGCAATAAACATACATGTGTGTGTGTCTTTATAGCAGCATGATTTATAGTCCTTTGGGTATATACCCAGTAATGGGATGGCTGGGTCAAATGGTATTTCTAGTTCAATATCCCTGAGGAATCGCCACACTGACTTCTACAATGGTTGAACTAGTTTACAGTCCCACCAACAGTGTAAAAGTGTTCCTATTTCTCCACATCCTCTCCAGCACCTGTTGTTTCCTGACTTTTTAATGATTGCCATTCTAACTGGTATGAGATGGTATCTCATTGTGGTTTTGATTTGCATTTCTCTGATGGCCAGTGATGATGAGCATTTTTTCATGTGTCTTTTGGCTGCATAAATGTCTTCTTTTGAGAAGTGTCTGTTCATATCCTTCGCCCACTTTTTGATGGGGTTGTTTTTTTCTTGTAAATTTGTTTGAGATCATTGTAGATTCTGGATATTAGTCCTTTGTCAGATGAGTAGATTGCAAAAATTTTCTCCCATTTTTTAGGTTGTCTGTTCACTCTGATGGTAGTTTCTTTTGCTGTGCAGAAGCTCTTTAGTTTAATTAGATCCCATTTGTCAATTTTGGCTTTTGTTGCCATTGCTTTTGGTGTTTTAGACATGAAGTCCTTGCCCATGCCTATGTCCTGAATGGTATTGCCTATGTTTTCTTCTAGGGTTTTTATGGTTTTAGGTCTAACATTTAAGTCTTTAATCCATCTTGAACTAATTGTTGTATAAGGTGTAAGGAAAGGATCCAGTTTCAGCTTTCTACATATGGCTAGCCAGTTTTCCCAGCACAATTTGTTAAATAGGGAATCCTTTCCCCATTTCTTGTTTTTGTCAGGTTTGTCAAAGATCAGATAGTTGTAGATGTGTGGTATTATTTCTGAGGGCTCTGTTCTGTTCCATTGGTCTGTATCTCTGTTTTGTTACCAGTACCATGCTGTTTTGGTTACTGTAGCCTTGTAGTATAGTTTGAAGTCAGGTAGCATGATGCCTCCAGCTTTGTTCTTTTGGCTTAGGATTGACTTGGCAATGCGGGCTCTTTTTTGGTTCCATATGAACTTTAAAGTAGTTTTTTCCAATTCTGTGAAAAAAGTCATTGGTAGCTTGATGGGGATGGCATTGAATCTATAAGTTACCTTGGGCAGTATGGCCATTTTCACGATATTGATTCTTCCTATCCATGAGCATGGAATGTTCTTCCATTTGTTTGTATCCTCTTTTATTTCCTTGAGCAGTGGTTTGTAGTTCTCCTTGAAGAGGTCCTTCACATCCCTTGTAAGTTGGATTCCTAGGTATTTTATTCTCTTTGAAGCAATTGTGAATGGTAGTTCACTCATGATTTGGCTCTCTGTTTGTCTGTTATTGGTGTATAGGAATGCTTGTGATTTTTGCACATTGATTTTGTATCCTGAGACTTTGCTGAAGTTGCTTATCAGCTTAAGGAGATTTTGGGCTGAGACGATGGGGTTTTCTAAATATACAATCATGTCATCAGCAAACAGGGACAGTTTGACTTCCTCTTTTCCTAATTGAATACCCTTTATTTCTTTCTCTTGCCTAATTGCCCTGGCCAGAACTTCCAACACTATGTTGAATAGGAGTGGTGAGAGAGGGCATCCCTGTCTTGTGCCAGTTTTCAAAGGGAATGCTTCCAGTTTTTGCCCATTCAGTATGATATTGGCTGTGGGTTTGTCATAAATATCTCTTATTATTTTGAGATACGTCCCATCAATACCTAATTTATTGAGAGTTTTTAGCATGAAGGCTGTTGAATTTTGTCAAAGGCCTTTTCTGCATCTATTGAGATAATCATGTTGTTTTTGTCTTTGGTTCTGTTTATATGATGGATTATGTTTATTGATTTGCGTATGTTGAACCAGCCTTGCATCCCAGGGATGAAGCCCACTTGATCATGGTGGATAAGCTTTTTGATGTGCTTCTGGATTTCGTTTGCCAGTATTTTATTGAGGATTTTCGCATTGATGTTCTTCAGGGATATTGGTCTAAAATTCTCTTTTTTGGTTGTGTCTCTGCCAGGCTTTGGTATCAGGATGATGCTGGCCTCATAAAATGAATTAGGGATGATTCCCTCTTTTTCTATTGATTGGAATAGTTTCAGAAGGAATGGTACCAGCTCCTCCTTGTACCTCTGGTAGAATTCTGCTGTGAATCCGTCTGGTGTTGGACTTTTTTTGGTTGGTAAGCTATTAATTATTGTCTCAATTTCAGAGCCTGTTATTGGTCTATTCAGGGATTCAGCTTCTTCCTGGTTTAGTCTTGGGAGGGCCTATGTGTCCAGGAATTTATCCATTTCTTCTAGATTTTCTAGTTTATTTGTGTAGAAGTGTTTATAGTATTCTCTGATGGTAGTTTGTATTTCTGTGAGATCAGTGGTGATCTCCCCTTTATAATTTTTTTATTGCATCTATTTGATTCTTCTCTCTTCTTCATTAGCCTTGCTAGCGGTCTATCAATTTTGTTGATCTTTTCAAACAACCAGCTCCTGGATTCATTGATTTTTTGAAGAGTTTTTTGTGTCTCTATCTCCTTCAGTTCTGCTCTGATCTTAGTTATTTCTTGCCTTCTGCTAGCTTTTGAATGTGTTTGCTCTTGCTTCTCTAGTTCTTTTAATTGTGATGTCAGGATGTCAATTTTAGATCTTTCCTGCTTTCTCTTGTGGGCATTTAGTGCTATAAATTTCCCTCTACACACTGCTTTAAATGTGTCCCAGAGATTCTGGTGTGTTGTGTCTTTGTTCTCATTGGTTTCAAAGGACATCTTTATTTCTGCCTTCATTTCGTTATGTATCCATTAATCATTCAGGAGCAGGTTGTTCAGTTTCCATATAGTTGAGCAGTTTTGAGTGAGTTTCTTAATCCTGAGTTCTAGTTTGATTGCACTGTGGTCTGAGAGACAGTTTGTTATAATTTCTGTTCTTTTACATTTGCTGAGGAGTGCTTTACTTCCAACTATGTGGTCAATTTTGGAATAAGTGCGGTGTGGTGCTGAGAAGAATGTATATTCTGTTGATTTGGGGTGGAGAGTTCTGTAGATGTCTATTAGGTCCACTTGGTGCAGAGCTGAGTTCAATTCCTGGGTATCCTTGTTAACTTTCTGTCTCGTTGATCTGTCTAATGTTGACAGTGGGGTGTTAAAGTCTCCCATCATTGTTGTGTGGGAGTCTAAGTCTCTTTGTAGGTCTCTAAGGCCTTGCTTTATGAATCTGGGTGCTCCTGTATTGGGTGCAGATATATTTAGGATAGTTAGCTCTTCTTGTTGAATTGCACCCTTTACCATTATGTAATGGCCTTCTTTGTCTCTTTTGATCTTTGTTGGTTTAAAGTCTGTTTGATTATCAGAGACTAGGATTGTAATCCCTGCCTTTTTTGTTTTCCATTTGCTTGGTAGATCTTCCTCCATCCCTTTATTTTGAGCCTATATGTGTCTCTGCACGTGAGATGGGTTTCCTGAATACAGCACACCGATGGGTCTTGACTCTTTATCCAATTTGCCACTCTCTGTCTTTTAATTGGAACATTTAGCCCATTTACATTTAAGGTTAATATTGTTATGTGTGAATTCGATCCTGTCATTATGATGTTAGCTGATTATTTTGCTCGTTAGTTGATGCAGTTTCTTCCTAGTCTCGATGGTCTTTACAATTTGGCATGTTTTTGCAGTGGTTGCTACTAGTTGTTCCTTTCCATGTTTAGTGCTTGCTTCAGGAGCTCTTGTAGGGCAGGCCTGGTGGTGACAAAATCTCTCAGCATTTGCTTGTCTGTAAAGGATTTTATTTCTCTTCACTTATGAAGCTTAGTTTGGCTGGATATGAAATTCTGGGTTGAAAATTCTTTTCTTTAAGAATGTTGAATATCGGCCCCCACTCTCTTCTGGCTTGTAGAGTTTCTGCTGAGAGATCAGCTGTTAGTCTGATGGGCTTCCCTTTGTGGGTAACCCAACCTTTCTCTCTGGCTGACCTTAACATTTTTTCATTCATTTCACTTTGGTGAATCTGACAGTTATGTGTCTTGGAGTTGCTCTTCTCGAGGAGTATCTTTGTGGTGTTCTCTGTATTTCCTGAATTTGAATGTTGGCCTGCCTTGCTAGGTTGGGGAAGTTCTCCTGGGTAAAATAGTGCAGAGTGTTTTTCAACTTGGTTCCATTCTCCCTGTCACTTTCAGGTACACCAATCAGACGTAGATTTGGTCCTTTCACATAGTCCCATATTTCTTGGAGGCTTTTTTCATTTCTTTTTACTCTTTTTTCTTTAAACTTCTCTTCTCGCTTCATTTCATTCATTTGATCTTCAATCATTGATACCCTTTCTTCCAGCTGATTGAATCAGCTACTGAAGCTTGTGCATTCGTCATGTAGTTCTTGTGCCATGGTTTTCAGCTCCATCAGGTCATTTAAGGCCTTCTCTACATTGGTTATTCTAGTTAGCCATTCGTCTAATCTTTTTTCAAGGTTTTTAACTTCTTTGTGATGGGTTCAAACTTCCTCCTTTAGCTCAGAGAAGTTTGATTGTCTGAAGCCTTCTTCTCTCAAGTTGTCAAAGTCATTCTCCATCCAGCTTTGTTCCGTTGCTGGTGAGGAGCTGCTTTCCTTTGGAGGAGGAGAGGTGCTCTGATTTTTAGAATTTTCAGTTTTTCTCTTCTGTTTTTTCCCCATTTTTGTGGTTTTATCTACCTTTGGTCTTTGATGATAGTGAGGTACAGATGGGGTTTTGGTGTGGATGTCCTTTCTGTTTGTTAGTTTCCCTTCTAACAGTCAGGGTCCTCAGCTGCAGGTCTGTTGGAGTTTGCTGGAGGTCCACTCCAGACCCTGTTTGCCTGGGTGTCAGCAGTGGAGGCTGCAGAACAGCAAATATTGCTGAACAGCAAATGTTGCTGTCTGAATGTTCCTCTGGAAGTTTCATCTCAGAGGGGTACCCGGCCGTTTGAGGTGTCAGTCTGCCCCTATTGGGGGGTGCCTCCCAGTTAGGCTCCTTGGCGGTCAGGGACCCACTTGAGGAGGCAGTCTGTCCATTCTCAGATCTCAGACTCCGTGCTGGGAGAACCACTACTCTCTTCAAAGCTGTCAGACAGGGACATTTAAGTCTGCAGAGTTTTCTGCTGCCTTTTGTTCGGCTATGCCCTGCCCCCAGAGGTGGAGTCTACAGAGGCAGGCAGGCCTCCTTGAGCTGCAGTGGGCTCCACCCAGTTCGACCTTCCTGGCCTCTTTGTTTACCTACTCAAGCCTCAGCAATGGCGGGCGCCCCTCCCCCAGCCTCACTGCTTCCTTGCAGTTGGATCTCAAACTGCTGTGCTAACAATGAGCGAGGCTCCGTGGGTGTGTGACCTTTTTTGTTTTTTGAGATGGAGTTTTGCTCTTGTTGCCTGGGCTGGAGTGCAATGGCACGATCTTGGCTCACTGCAGCCTCCACCTCCCAGGTTCAAGAGATTCTCCTGCCTCAGCCTCCCAAGTAGCTGGGATTACAGGTGTATGCCACCATGCCCAGCTAAGTTTTTGTATTTTTAGTAGAGACAGGGTTTCACCATGTTGGCCAGACTGGTCTCCAACTCCTGACCTCAGGCGATCCACCTGCCTTGGCCTCCCAAAGTGCTGGGATTATAGGCATGAGCCACCATGCTGGCCTCTACTTTCTGTTTCTGTCAGTTTGCATATTCTAGTTACTTCATATAAGTAGAATTATATAGTATTTGTCCATCTTTGGCTTATTTCACGAAGTATAACGTTTTCGGGGTTCGTCCATGTTATAACACATACAGAATTTCCTTCCTTTTTAAGGCTGAGTAATATTCCATTGTGTATATATATAGCAGTTTGTTTATCCATTCATCCGTTGATGGACACTTGGGTTGCTTCTACCTTTTGGCTATTGTGAATGATGCTGCTGTGAATGTTGGTGTACAAATATCTGTTCAAGTTCCTGCTTTCAGGAATATATACTTAGAATATATATTCTAATATAGAATATATATTCTAATATAGAATATATTAGAATATATATTCTAGAATATATACTTAGAAGTCCATTATATGGTAGTTCTGTATTAAACCTTTTGAGAAAACACCAAACTGTTTTCTGTAGCACTGCACCATTTTATATTTCCACCTTCCATGCACAGGGGTGCCAGTTTCTCCATGCAGCCCACAGACTTTTGATGTGTTATTTTATTTTCATTCAGTTTAGTATTGAAATACATCTTTTACATTTTTCTTTGAGACCTCCTCTTTGACCCATGGTTTGTTTAGAACTGTACTGTTTAATTTTCCAGTTTCTGGAGAGCTCCCTGTTATTTTTCTTCTGATTTTTAATTTAATACTTTGTGGTCAGATAACATATTTTAACAATTTCAATTAATTTGCATTTTAGTGTTCATTTTATGAGCTAGGAGATGGTCTGTCTTGGTGAATGCTTCATGTATGTTTGAAACTAATGTTTATTGTTATGTGAAGTGTTCTGTAAATGTCAGATTCAATTTTTTATGGTTGTTGTTCAGTTCTTCTATATTCTTGTTAATTTTCTGTCTAGTGGTTGTATCAGTTTCTGAGAGTTGTGTTGAAGTCCTCAACTATTTTTGTAGATTTGCCTACTTCTCCCTGCAGTTGTATTACATTTGTTCTGTGTATTTTGGAGCTCTGTTGTTTGGTGCATACGCATTAAGATTGTTATGTCTTGGCAAGGAATTGACCCTTTTATCATTATGTAAAGTTTCACTTTTTCTCTGGTAATGTTCTTTGCTTTAAAATCTTCTTTGTCTGGTATTAATATGGCCCATCCAGCTTTCTTTTCATTAGTATTCACATAGTATATCTTTTTCATACTTTATTCTACCTACATAAATTTGCTTGCTAGCATATAATAGGGTCTTTTTTAAAAAGTCCATTATAGCAGTCTCTTCTTTTAATTGGTATGTTTATACCATTTATATTTAATGTAATTAATGATATGTTAGGATTCAAGTTTGCCATTTTACTTTTTGTTTTCTGTATGCTTCTACTGTTTTTTATTCCTTTGTTTCTCCTTCCCTGTCTTCCTGTGGGTTACTTGAACATTTTGTAGTATTTTGTTTTAATTAATCAGAAGCGTTTTGAAATATTCTCTTTGCTTTGCCTTTTAGTGGTTACTCTATGGATCATGATATACCTACTTACCACAGTCTACTGTATCAACATTTTACCACTCCAAGTGGAATATAGAAACCTTACCACCAATTACATCCCTTTCCCCTCCCCCCATAATGATATGGGGTTGTCTTAAATATTACCTGTGTATATATTGAGAGCCACATCAGACAGTGACACAATTTTTTGCTTTCAAATGTCAAACATAATTTTTAAAACTCAAGAGAGGCATTGTTGTATTTACACTTTCCATTGTTCTTTCTTCATTCCAAACATGTTCTCAGTTTGTTCATTCATTTGTCCCTCCCTCCTTCCTTTCTTCATTTTTTAAAAATTATTTCGTTTCTATCTGAATAACTTCTTTTAACAATTGGAGCAGGTCTCCTGGGAACAGATAGATTCCTTTCATTTTCCTTCACTAAGTCTTTACTTTTCTTTCTGATCCCTGAAAGATATTTTTACCAGATATAGACTGTTGGGTTAACAATTGCTTTCCTTCAGATTGTGAAAAATATTCTGCCACTTTCTTCTGGCCTCCATGGTTTCTGTTGAGAAATTCACTGTCATTTTCTCCCATAGGTAATGTGTCATTCATTTCTTGTACTTTCAAGGTATTTTCTTTGTCTATATTCTTCAAAAATTTGATTATGATTTATTTGTCTGGGAGTAGATTTATTTGGGTTTATCCTATGTGGGGTTTGCTTAGCTTCTTGACTCTACAGGGTTTTCTTTCATGAACTTTGAGAAATTTTCAATCATTATTTCTGCAAGTATTTTTTCTGTATCATACGTTTCTCCTTTCCTCTAGGACTGTAATGGTTCTTTGCATTTTGTGTTTTCCCCCCATATTTTTGTTCCAAACTATCATTTTTAAAAGTATAGTTTGTATATATTTATATATATACATATATGTTTATATATATATTACATTTAGACTGTAATGGTTCTTTGCATTTTGTGTTTTCCCCCCATATTTTTGTTCCAAACTATCATTTTTAAAAGTATAGTTTGTATATATTTATATATATACATATATGTTTATATATATATTACATTTATTTGTATAAGTTTACATTATCCATTAAATCCATTTTTATATCTCTAGTTCTTATTTTTTAAATTGGGTTCATTTCCTATTTTGCTGGAGTGTTTTCTCCAGTAATCCTTTCAGAAAAAGTTTGAATCTTGTAAACTTTATTTTTTCACATCTAAAAATGTCTTTCATTTTCCAGCTGGTATATAAAACTTCTAGGACTTCTATGGCAAAATAATTTTAACTTGGTACTTCGAAAATATTCTCCTACTGTCTTCTGGTATCTGGTATTGCCAGCTCTTTCCCCTTTCTGCTATTGTTGGACTTCTTAGAATAGTATCATATTAGTTGTGTTCACCTCTGATGTCCCTGCTACAGTGTCTTGAAATGGGGGACAGTGTATACTAATCTTTGTAGATGCAGTCCCTAGGACAATGCTCAGTAAACTACATCAGCAAACATTTGTTACCTTGGGTTGAAATGTGGGAAACTGAGCTGTATCTGGAGAGCCACATCAACGGATAGATTTGGTCCTCTGGTCTTGCATATTATTGATACCATTTTTTTTTTGAGTGAAAATATTCTCCTAGACATTTTTAGCTACAAGGAGGTATGCCTCTCCTGAGGGGCTGCAGGTTGCAGTGTTGTGAGAATGGGGAGTGTAGTTCATTCTGAGAGCATGTCTGGCCTTGTTGCTGGGGCTGGCCATCACAGCAGATAGCTGCCCACGTCTCCTGCCTACCAGGAGCTCATGCTCTGGTAGAGACATGCAGACCTCAGTGTGAATCCCAGTTCTGTCATTTATAAGGTGTTTTCCCTAAAACAGGGTATTTATTCTGTTTTTACCTCAGCTTTCTCTTGCATGAAATGAGTTTAGTAATTTCCATCATGCTGGTATGGAAAGCATTAAATAAGAAGGCATATATAAAGCACTTGGCATGTAATTGGCATTCAGTGAATTTTAGTTCTTTTTCCTTTTTTCTTTTGAACTCATTTGTTAGGAAGCTGGAGAGTTTTTCTTTCTGAGTTAAGAATTGGGCATAGCAAATGTGTTCATCTTCTCAGAATGTTTTCCAGGGTAATATAACCCAGAAGCAGAAGATTCTGGTTAATTCTTGAAGATCCAACTCAAACCTAGAATTCTAGGATTTTAAGATTTTATGTTTGGTTTGGCTTTTTGGAAAGGAGAGTTCTTTTTCAGTCTCTAGGTTTTCTGGGTTGGTGTCATCTTACCATGTTGGCAAGGTAACTCGTATCCCTTGAAGGTTAAATAATGACCCTCAGTATTACCTGGTGAGTAGAAAAACCAGTCTAAGGTTTTTTCATTAGGCCCTGCCACTTCTCTCCTGACCTTCAGTCCCCTCTTTTCCATCACCTAGAGAGAACATTCTTGAGGGAAGCCAGAATGGTTTACTTACCCTTCTGCTGGGGCTCTGTATTTATGTTAGAGGAGCCTTCTTGCTTTGGGCAAGGAGAATGGGTATGTGTTGGAGGTAAGAGCTCACTCAGGTGATAGCTCATAGTCAGTTTCAGTGGTGGGGTTTGCAGAAAGGGTGGTGACTTGATCTCTTCCCTGATTTTTGTCTACAGGTGGCACTCTTACTGGCTAGTGAAATGAATATTCTTGGCCAGGTGTAGTGGCTCATGGGTGTAATCCCAGCACTTTGGGAGGCTGAGGAGGGAGGGTTGCTTGAGCCCAGGAGTTCAAGACGAGCCTGGGCACCATAGTGAGAACCCCATCTCTATAAAAACATAAAAACAAAATTAGCCGGGCTTGGTGGTGTACACCTGTGGTCCCATCTACTCAGGAGGCTGAGGTGGGAAGATGGCTTGAGGCTAAGAGTTCAAGGCTTCAGTGAGCTGAGATCATGCCACTGCACTCCAGCCTGAGCAACAGAGTGAGAGACCCTGTCAATCAGTTAATCACTAATTCAAATCAGTGAAATCAGTCAATCAAATGAAGGTTCTTTTCCCCCCGGGATTGCCTGCTCACCTCTCCTTCACTCTCTCACTCCTTTAGAGTAGTTTCCAATGGAGTGTTTTGTCATCTTCTTGGGGAACATTTATTCTTATAACTTAGGTAATTTTTCCAAGAGAAGGATTTAAATCTCTGAGAATTGTCATCCTCGTCCACACCATGGAGTATCAGTGTACAGTGGCTCCCAAGGCTGTACACCTGGCCCAGATATGCCCCAGGGAAGGCCTCTGTCAGCATTGTGCTCCTGGGGTTAGGACTGTGTGTGATTTGAACAATGGAAATGTCAGAGTCCTTCTGTTAGTGGGCCATGGAGATGGCACCCTGGAGAGGGTTTCTGTGTGGGGATCGACTCCACTACACATGTACTTGGGAGGGTTTTTATTTAGGCCCACTCGAAGCCTCTGTGGCCAAACTCGAGCTTCCTTGCCCTCCACTGTATCTCCGTAGTCCTCACAGTGGCCCTGAGAAGTCAGGGGAGGATCAGGGAAGCCTTGGGTACAGGGCCAGGAGGCCCTTAGGTAGAACTCTGCCAGGGAAGCTTTAGGAAAGCTGGCCCACCAGTGGCTTTTCTACCCCTGTCTTTTGCCTATTCCTTGCCCTAGGCTTAGTGTTTTTCAGAGGCTTAGATGGATGAACCGCATCTGGCCTTCTTACCCCTGGAGGTGGAAGAGTGAGTGGTGCCTCAACCTCTGGGCCTCTCATTCTGTGTCTCTCTCTGCAGGGTGTGCAGGAGAGGGGCTGTCTGAGGCTCTCTAGCCCGGCGAGCAGGGAGAGAGGGTTGCCACCTGGGCATGTGGAAGCATTCTGTGTGTTGCTTTGCTGAGGAAAACCTTATGTTCTTTTTTTCTCTTGCCATGAATGCTAAGGAGAGATAGTGAGGATTGTTGAAAGACCACATAAATAGACCTGCCTAAGACGGGGGAGCAGGGCAAGAAACTAGACTTTCCATATTTGACATAGAGCTTCCCAGGAAGTCATTTTCCTAAAAATACTGAAAAGACCTTGAGTCACTAATTTAAGGGAGGTAATCTCCAGATTTGTCTGTTTCTAGTTATTGTTCCCACTTATTTGTAGATGGAAAATGTGGTGTCCCAAGTGTGAGCTGAGGCCCTGAGTTTACCGTGGGACTTCAAGAACATTCTTAATGCCTATCTTGGGACCTTTTGTTTTTCAAATGTATTTTTTTTAATACAGTAGTGACACATGCTTTAAAAAGTTACTACCTATTTGTTAAAAACTTAAAAATCCCCCAAAGTGTTTAAAAGAAAAAGTGAAAGTCAGCCTCCCTCTCCTTGCCCCCAGGGCCACTCCCAGGATCACTGTGGAGGAGAGGTTGATGCGAATTGTTCTGGACTTGTTTCTAACACACGTGCTCCCTCAGGCTCCTGACCCAAGCTCTGCCACTCGGTGTGGTGTGGCACACCAAGCTCTCCCCCATGGTGTGGTGTGTCTGCGTGAAAAGGAAGAAGAAGAGTAACAGGGCGCCTCCGTGCCAGTGTCTGGCTCCAGTCCTCCTTGTCGAGGGAGGGTTTGGGAGTTGATGAATGATCTCCCCCAACTGTGCCGTTTCCTTCCCAGGCCTTGTGCTGTATGTGCTAATGTGCATTTCACCAGATTTCCCTCTCTGTCTTTTTAAAAAGTCTATGACTTTTGCTTCACAGTTTGAAGCACAGAATTATAACAGAGGGGTGGCAGGAGGGAAAAGCAAGTGGTGTGCTGGAGGTTCTGCGGGGGGATGAGCGCAGCAGGGTGACAAGGCACACGGGCCACTCGGGCTTCCTGGGCCAGGGTGTGAGAGGAGTGCTGAGTAGTGAGATCTCCGCTTCATCTCCAAAGGCAAGATAAATGGAACTTCTGAATGTTGGTTCTTGGAGTGGCTTGTATTCTTTGACCATCCACTTAGAAATGGAGTGGGAGACACCTGGGCCTGCTAAAACCTCACTGTTCTTCAAACAACAAAAGTGATTTCATTAGAGGCTTTCTGCTGAGGTTTCTCGGGTCTGTGTTGTCAGCCCACCTCCCTTGCTTTCAGGATGGGCCACAGTTTGATCTGGAAACTAAATGTGCCCTTTTCAGTGGATACGGTTTTCTTTTCCCCGCTGTTTTTCCTTTGTGGCAGGCCTAGTCATGATGCGAGCATCCTCTCGGCTCCCCGATGGTACTCGTTCTGTTACTAGCAGGGTGCCCCCGCTCTGTGGCTTGGAGCTGCTCCGGAACCCTCCTGTCAGCCTGTGGGCTCCTCAAAGCAGCGGCTGGGCTGAGTCACCTTCTTGCCCTCCTGGACTCTTCTGGTCGGAGAGGACCTTTGACAGTCACAGATAGCCAGCTGCCCAGTCACCAAGACCAGATGTTGGTTGAATTTCGCAGGAATTGGAGCTCAGTCTGCCTTGCCTCTCACTCCATGTGGGCTCCAGTGCCTGATTCATCCAGGCTAAAAAGATTTGTAGTTGCTGAACATTCTAAGGCCTTTTGTGCCTTGGTCAGTTGCTCTTGTATCCTGGAATGTTCCGTTTTTCTTTCTTCCCCAGGTTAACAGGAGAAGTTTCAGGATTGGCTTAAATGTACCCTCCTTCAAGAAGCTGTCTATGCCCTCTGGTGCTGGTGAGGTGTTCCCTTGCATGGACCCCCATGGCTCCTGGACTTTTGCATTACCAGGCTTGGCCCTTTGTTAACATTGTGGTTTATTTCCCATTTCCTGGAGCACAGCTTCCTTAAAGGCAGAGTCTGTGTTTTTGTCCTCTCGGAATCTCTAGCATTCAGCCAGGAACTTGGTGGGGACTGAAAAATAAAAAGGTGTTGAACAAGTGAAGGAATCACTCTTGTCTCTAGCTGTACTCAACAGATGGGTGTGGGCACTACAAGCTGAAAAATGTACTTGCAACAGACAGTTGTGTAGAAAGCCAAGGACAAGCCCAGAGGGAGTGCTTATTAGATGAGAATTGCTAGGATAGGACCTCAAGATGCCTTGACAAACTACTGATGTATTTATTCAACACCCTTCTCATAAAATGTATTTGTTTCTTAGTGGTCTAGTCATTTATTTTCAGAGTACTCCTGTGATAAAACGTGGATCCATCTTTCTTTAGAAAACAAACAGGACGTGAAGAGATGGCCATCCAGGTGGTCTTTGTGTCAGGGTCAGAACTAGGGATGAGCCAGCTTGTCCTGACTCTGGAAGCAGAGATTCTCAGAGCTCGCATCGCCCCACATTCCTGGGTGTCTCTCGTGTACCCCACTGACAGTATCATAGCATAGCTACAGTCTGCTTGGGGGATGCCTGATCTCTTCGCCTGGTGTCCTTTTTTCTCCTGGGTTGGGGTTAGGTGAGAAAGTCTAACAGAACAGCAAAAAGAAGAAAGAAACACCCAGAATACCACGGCCTGGAGAAAAAGAAGGCTGCGCCATCTTGGTCTCTGTCCTTCCAAATAATACTAGAGTTTTGGGTCTTACTTCATATGTTGTTTTGTAAACAGTCTTTTTCATTTAGCAAAACATTGTGGATATTTTTCATGTCTGTAAATACAGGTCTACCCCATCATTTTTCAAGTTTGCATAGTATTTCATAATTGGATATGCATAATTTATTTAACCAATTATCTATTATTATATACTTATTTCCTGTTTTTAATATTAAAATCAACACTGTGCCAAATATACATCTACATCTTTCCTTCTTTTGTCCATTATTTTCTTAAGGTTATATTTTTAGAAATCATCAACTCATATGCACATTTAAAATTGTGATATATATTATCAGATAAGTTTCTAGGAAAGATAAAACTCAACGATTGTAAGGATGTGAGACTTGAGGGCATCTGGGCTGTGTGCTATAGAAGGCATATTGAACATACCATTTCCCTTTGCTCTGTCCCCAAGCCCAATTAAAAGGAGAGTAAAGACATGGGAGATAAGGATGATGGCAGCAAAATTGTGACAGCTGGAAAAGAGGTGGATGGTTGGTGGGTAATTGAGAAATCCAGAGACAGCTGGAACTCGGGCCTGCAGTGAAGAATCACAGAAGCAGTTGGGCCACTTACCAGGGTGTCCCCAAAGAGCTCCAGAATTGGAGGGAGCAGGCCCCTCTGAAAGTGGGGTTCAGGTGGAGTAGAGAATGAAAAGATGAGGTTGAAGTCTGTGTGAGACACAGTCAGATCCCCTCTGTGATCTGATAAAACTACGAGATAAAACGTCACAGTTTTATCTCCTTCCCACCAGCAGATCAGTGGTTTATCCTCCAGGTTATCCCCCTGTGAGGATCAAATGAAAGGACTTTGGATGCTGGCACAGCAGGCATCACAGAAAAAAGGAGCATCATACTCAAGACAGGCTGAGACCTTCCACCTGCCCAAGCATTCTTCCTCACTATACTCGAAGAAAACAGGCTTAACCACAGCCCTACAGGAGATTAAAAGATTGCTTCATGAGAGGTTAGAGGGCCCAAGTGAAAAGCTTCATAAACATGGAAATTTAGAAGTTCTTCAGTAAAATGTTCTGATTAGATCACCCTACCAATTGACAAATCACTTCCATAGAAACAGACCTTGCAATCAGTTTGTTATTGCTTCATTCTTAACTATAACGAGATGACTCTGTCAAGAGATATTTGATAACTTCCTCTAACATGACCAAAATAAAAACCGATATAAATGTGAGACTAGATGGAGGAGCCAAGATGGCCGAATAGGAACAGCTCCGGTCCACAGCTCCCAGCGTGAGCGACGCAGAAGATGGGTGATTTCTGCATTTCCATCTGAGGTACTGGGTTCATCTTACTAGGGGGTGCCAGACAGTGGGCGCAGGACAGGCGGTGCAGCGCACCGTGCGCAAGCCGAAGCAGGGCGAGGCATTGCCTCACTCAGGAAGCGCAAGGGGTCAGGGAGTTCCCTTTCCTGGTCAAGGAAAGGGGTGACAGACGGCACCTGGAAAATCGGGTCACTCCCACCCGATACTGCACTTTTCTGATGGGCTTAGGAAATGGCGCACCAGGAGATTATATCCCGCACCTGGCTCGGAGGATCCTACGCCCACGGAGTCTTGCTGATTGCTAGCACAGCAGTCTGAGATCAAACTGCAAGGCGGCAGCGAAGCTAGGGGAGGGGCACCCGACATTGCCCAGGCTTGCTTAGGTAAACAAAGCAGCCAGGAACCTCCAGCTGGGTGGAGCCCACCAGAGCTCAAGGAGGCCTTGCTGCCTCTGTAGGCTCCACCTCTGGGGGCAGGGCACAGACAAACAAAAAGACAGCAGTAACCTCTGCAGACTTAAATGTCCCTGTCTGACAGCTTTGAAGAGAGCAGTGGTTCTCCCAGCACGCAGCTGGAGATCTGAGAACGGGCAGACTGCCTCCTCAAGTGGGTCCCTGACCCCTGACCCCCGAGCAGCCTAACTGTGAGGCAACCCCCAGTAGGGGCAGACTGACACCTCACACAGCCGGGTACTCCTCTGAGACAAAACTTCCAGAGGAACGATCAGACAGCAGCATTCGCGGTTCATGAAAATCCACTGTTCTGCAGGCACCGCTGCTGATACCCAGGCAAACAAGGTCTGGAGTGGACCTCTAGCAAACTCCAACAGATCTGCAGCTGAGGGTCCTGTCCGTTAGAAGGAAAACTAACAAACAGAAAGGACATCCACACCAAAAACGCATCTGTACATCACCATCATCAAAGACCAAAAGTAGATAAAACCACAAAGATGGGGAAAAAACAGAGCAGAAAAACTGGAAACTCTAAAAAGCAGAGTGCCTCTCCTCCTCCAAAGGAATGCAGTTCCTTACCAGCAACGGAACAAAGCTGGATGGAGAATGACTTTGATGAGTTGAGAGAAGAAGGCTTCAGACGATCAAACTACTGTGAGCTACAGGAGGAAATTCAAACCAAAGGCAAAGAGATTGAAAATGTTGAAAAAAATTTAGACGAATGTATAACTAGAATAACCAATACAGAGAAGTGCTTAAAGGAGCTGATGGAGCTGAAAGCCAATGCTTGAGAACTACGTGAAGAATGCAGAAGCCTCAGGAGCTGATGCGATCAACTGGAAGAAAGGGTTTCAGTGATGGAAGATGAAATGAATGAAATGAAGCGAGAAGGGAAGTTTAGAGAGAAAAGAATAAAAAGAAATGAAGAAAGCCTCCAAGAAATATGGGACTATGTGAAAAGACCAAATCTACGTCTGATTGGTGTACCTGAAAGTGACGGGGAGAATGGAACCAAGTTGGAAAACACTCTGCAGGATATTATCCAGGAGAGCTTCCCCAATCTAGCCATGCAGGCCAACATTCAAATTCAGGAAATACAGAGAACACCACAAAGATACTCCTCGAGAAGAGCAACTCCAAGACACATAACTGTCAGATTCACCAAAGTTGAAATGAATGAAAAAATGTTAAGGTCAGCCAGAGAGAAAGGTTGGGTTACCCACAAAGGGAAGCCCATCAGACTAACAGCTGATCTCTCAGCAGAAACTCTACAAGCCAGAAGAGAGTGGGGGCCGATATTCAACATTCTTAAAGAAAAGAATTTTCAACCCAGAATTTCATATCCAGCCAAACTAAGCTTCATAAGTGAAGAGAAATAAAATCCTTTACAGACAAGCAAATGCTGAGAGATTTTGTCACCACCAGGCCTGCCCTACAAGAGCTCCTGACACAAGCACTAAACGTGGAAAGGAACAACTAGTACCAACCACTGCAAAAACATGCGAAAATGTAAAAGACCATCGAGACTAGGAAGAAACTGCATCAACTAACGAGCAAAATAACCAGCTAACATCATAATGACAGGATCAAATTCACACATAACAATATTAACTTTAAATGTAAATGGGCTAAATGTTCCAATTAAAAGACAGAGAGTGGCAAATTGGATAAAGAGTCAAGACCCATTGGTGTGCTGTATTCAGGAAACCCATCTCACATGCAGAGACACACATAGGCTCAAAATAAAGGGATGGAGGAAGATCTACCAAGCAAATGGAAAACAAAAAAAGGCAGGGGTTGCAATCCTAGTCTCTGATAAAACAGACTTTAAACCAACAAAGATCAAAAGAGACAAAGAAGGCCATTACATAGTGGTAAAGGGATCAATTCAACAAGAAGAGCTAACTATCCTAAATATATCTGCACCCAATACAGGAGCACCCAGATTCATAAAGCAAGTCCTGAGTGACCTAGAAAGAGACTTAGACTCCCACACAATAATAATGGGAGACTTTAACACCCCACTGTCAACATTAGACAGATCAACGAGACAGAAAGTTAACAAGGATACCCAGGAATTGAACTTGGCTCTGCCAAGCAGACCTAATAGACATCTACAGAACTCTCCACCCCAGATCAACGGAATATACATTTTTGTCAGCACCACACCACACCTATTCCAAAATTGACCACATAGTTGGAAGTAAAGCTCTCCTCAGCAAATGTAAAAGAACAGAAATTATAACAAACTGTCTCTCAGACCACAGTGCAATCAAACTAGAACTCAGGATTAAGAAACTCACTCAAAACCGCTCAACTACGTGGAAACTGAAGAACCTGCTCCTGAATGATTAATGGATACATAACGAAATGAAGGCAGAAATAAAGATGTTCTTTTAAACCAACGAGAACAAAGACATAACATACCAGAATCTCTGGGACACATTCAAAGCAGTGTGTAGAGGGAAATTTATAGCACTAAATGCCCACAAGAGAAAGCAGGAAAGATCCAAAATTGACACCCTAACCTCACAATTAAAAGAACTAGAAAAGCAAGAGCAAACACATTCAAAAGCTAGCAGAAGGCAAGAAATAACTAAAATGAGAGCAGAACTGGAGGAAATAGAGACAAAAAAACCCTTCGAAAAATTAATGAATCCAGGAGCTGGTTTTTTGAAAGGATCAACAAAATTGATAGACCGCTAGCAAGACTAATAAAGAAAAAAAGAGAGAAGAATCAAATAGACGCAATAAAAAATGATAAAGGGGATATCACCACCGATCCCACAGAAATACAAACTACCATCAGAGAATACTACAAACACCTCTACGCAAGTAAACCAGAAAATCTAGAAGAAATGGATAAATTCCTCGACACATACACCCTCCCAAGACTAAACCAGGAAGAAGTTGAATCTCTGAATAGACCAATAACAGGATCTGAAATTGTGGCAATAATCAATAGCTTACCAACCAAAAAGAGTCGAGGACCAGACGGATTCACAGAGGTATAAGGAGGAACTGGTACCATTCCTTCTGAAACTATTCCAATCAATAGAAAAAGAGGGAATTCTCCCTAATTCATTTTATGAGGCCAGCATCATCCTGATACCAAAGCCTGGCAGAGACACAACAAAAAAAAGAGAATTTTAGACCAATATCCTTGATGAACATTGATGCAAAAATCCTCAATAAAATACTGGCAAACCAAATCCAGCAGCACATCAAAAAGCTTATCCACCGTGATCAAGTGGGCTTCATCCCTGGGATGCAAGGCTGGTTCAATATACGCAAATCAATAAATGTAATCCAGCATATAAACAGAACCAAAGACAAAAACCACATGATTATCTCAATAGATGCAGAAAAGGCCTTTGACAAAATTCAACAACCCTTCATGCTAAAAACTCTCAATAAATTAGGTATTGATGGGACGTATCTCAAAATAATACGAGATATTTATGACAAACCCACAGCCAATATCATACTGAATGGGCAAAAACTGGAAGCATTCCCTTTGAAAACTGGCACAAGACAGGGATGCCCTCTCTCACCACCCCTATTCAACATAGTGTTGGAAGTTCTGGCCAGGGCAATTAGGCAAGAGAAGGAAATAAAGGGTATTCAGTTAGGAAAAGAGGAAGTCAAACTGTCCCTGTTTGCAGACGACATGATTGTGTATCTAGAAAACCCCATCATCTCAGCCCAAAATCTCCTTAAGCTGATAAGCAACTTCAGCAAAGTCTCAGGATACAAAATCAATGTGCAAAAGTCACAAGCATTCTTATACACCAATAACAGACAAACAGAGAGCCAAATCATGAGTGAACTCCCATTCACAATTGCTTCAAAGAGAATAAAATACTTAGGAATCCAACTTACAAGGGATGTGAAGGACCTCTTCAAGGAGAACTACAAACCACTGCTCAAGGAAATAAAAGAGGATACAAACAAATGGAAGAACATTCCATGCTCATGGATAGGAAGAATCAATATCGTGAAAATGGCCATACTGCCCAAGGTAATTTATAGATTCAATGCCCTCCCCATCAAGCTACCAATGACTTTTTTCACAGAATTGGAAAAAACTACTTTAAAGTTCATATGGAACCAAAAAAGAGCCCGCATCGCCAAGTCGATCCTAAGCCAAAAGAACAAAGTTGGAGGCATCACGCTACCTGACTTCAAACTATACTACAAGGCTACAGTAACCAAAACAGCATGGTACTGGTACCAAAACAGAGATATAGATCAATGGAACAGAACAGAGCCCTCAGAAATAATGCCACATATCTACAACTATTGATCTTTGACAAACCTGAGAAAAACAAGCAATGGGGAAAGGATTCCCTATATAATAAATGGTGCTGGGAAAACTGGCTAGCCATATGTAGAAAGCTAAAACTGGATCCCTTCCTTACACCTTATACAAAAATTAATTCAAGATGGATTAAAGACTTAAATATTAGACCTAAAACCATAAAAACCCTAGAAGAAAACCTAGACATTACCATTCAGGACATAGGCATGGGCAAGGACTTCATGTCTAAAACACCAAAAGCAATGGCAACAAAAGCCAAAATTGACAAATGGGATCTAATTAAACTAAAGAGCTTCTGCACAGCAAAAGAAACTACCATCAGAGTGAACAGACAACCTAAAAAATGGGAGAAAATTTTCGCACCCTACTCATCTGACAAAGGACTAATATCCAGAATCTACAATGAACTCAAACAAATTTACAAGAAAAAAACAACCCCATCAAAAAGTGGGCAAAGGATATGAACAGACACTTCTCAAAAGAAGACATTTATGCAGCCAAAAGACACATGAAAAAATGCTCATCATCACTGGCCATCAGAGAAATGCAAATCAAAACCACAATGAGATACCATCTCATACCAGTTAGAATGGCAATCATTAAAAAGTCAGGAAACAACAGGTGCTGGAGAGGATGTGGACAAATAGGAACACTTTTACACTGTTGGTGGGACTGTAAACTAGTTCAACCATTGTGGAAGTCAGTGTGGCGATTCCTCAGGGATCTAGAACTAGAAATACTATTTGACCCAGCCATCCCATTACTGGGTATATACCCAAAGGACTATAAATCATGCTGCTATAAAGACATATGCACATGTATGTTTATTGCGGCACTATTCCCAATAGCAAAGACTTGGAACCAACCCAAATGTCCAACAATGATAGACTGGATTAAGGAAATGTGGCACATATACACCATGGAATACTATGCAGCCATAAAAAATGATGAGTTCATGTCCTTTGTAGGGACATGGATGAAACTGGAAATCATCATTCTCAGTAAGCTATCGCAAGGACAAAAAACGAAACACCGCATGTTCTCATTCATAGATGGGAATTGAACAGTGAGAACACATGGACACAGGAAGGGGAACATCACACTCTGGGGCCTGCTGTGGGGTGGGGGGAGGGGGGAGGGATAGCATTAGGCGATATACCTAATGCTAAATGAGGAGTTAATGGGTGCAGCACACCAGCATGGCACATGTATACATATGTAACTAACCTTCACATTGTGCACATGTACCCTAAAACTTAAAGTATAAAAAAAAAAAAATTGTGAGACCAAAACATTCAGCCTCCATAGTCCCAAACAAACACACAGAGAAAAAAGGAACTCAGGGAACAGATAATGCAGAGGAGCAGAAGAAAAAGTTTTTTTTCTTAAGTTAAATCCACAGAAAAGAGAAAATATTGAATTCATAAAATAAGAGTAGGGAACTGGTAAAAAATCACACTTAGAAAAAACCCATTAGAAATTAAAAATATGGTATCAGAAATGGATAATTCAATAGAAGGGCTAGAAAGTAGATTTGAGTAATTAGAACAAAAAGACAAAGCAATAGAAAATATGAGAGAAACATTAGGAAAATTGGAGTCTTAGCTCAGGAGGTCAAGCATCCAAACAGTAGCAGTACCAGAAAGAGGAAACTGAAGAAATTATTAATGAAATTATTTCAGAACATTTCCCAGAACTGAGGAATAAGACCTTCCAGATTGAGAAGGGCCCGTTAGTTCGTAGCCCATTAGCTTTCGAAAATAGACCTATACCAGGATACATCATGAAATTTTAGAATATAAAGGACAAGAACTGATCCTTGAAGTTTCCAGAGGGATGTGTTATTATCTCCTGCTGTATAACAAATTACTCCAAAACTTAGTGGCTTAGAACAGGGAGTGGCAAACTTTTTCATAGTAGTCTTACGGGCCACATGGTCTCTATTGCAGTGACCCATCTTTGCCATTGTAGCACAAGAGCAGCCATAGTCAATATGTAAGTGAGTGGTTATGACTGTGTTCCAGTAAAGCTTTATTTACAAAAACACGTGGCCAGGTCAGGCCCTGTGTTTCCTGGCTTAAAACAACAACATTTATGTCTCACAGTTTTTGTGGGCATAGCTGATTCACTTGCCTTTGGATCATGCAAACAGTTTCAGTTAAGATGTTGTTAGGGCTACGATCATCCGAAGGCTTGTTGGGGGTTGGATCCATTTCTGCACTCATTCAGATTGTTGTCTGAATTCAATTCCTTGTGGGCTGTTGGATTAAGGGCCTCTGTTTCTTGGGTTTGGGTCTCATAGCAGCTTGCCTCATCAGAGTGAGAAAGAGAGAGTGTGAACAACAGAATTCAGTCTTTTGAAAGCTAATCTTGGAAGGGACATTCCATCACTTTTGCCATATTCTTTTGCCATATTCTGAATGAGGGCTGTAGGTCCAACCCTTGGTTTAAGGGTGTGAATACTAGGTGATGGGGATCATCGGGGCTGTCTTAGAGGGCTGTGTTACTCAAGAAAAAAGAAAACATGTTATGGGAAGGAACTTCAAAATGTTTGTAGAAAAATTGAATTAAAAGATAAAAATATAAACTTTGTTTCTTGCCATGAGCTTTATCAAGTTCAAGACACTTTTGTACACAGTGATACCAGCCATTTAATCCATTCCTGAAGAACTGAGGGTCCTGGGAATTTAACCATGTCAATGTAGTCTTTTTGGCATTATTAACTGAAGAAAAATGGGTGCCATTTAAAGATTTTTTAAGATTAAGAAGCAAAAAGAAATCAGAAGGAGCCAAATCAGGACTGTAAAGTGGATACCTAATGATTTTCTGTCAAAACTCTCCCCAAGTTGCCCTCGTTTGGTGAGAGGAATGAGCAGGAGCATTGTCCTGGTGGAGAAGGACTTTCTGGTGAAGCTTTCCTGGGCATTTTTCTAAGGCTTTGGCTAATTTTCTCAAAACACTCTCATAATAAGCAGATGTTATTGTCCGCAAGCAAAATGCATTGAGCATACCCAAAACTGTTGCCATGACCTTTGAGTGGTCTTTTTTTTTTCTTTTTTGAGACAGAGTCTTGCTCTGTTACCTAGGCTGGAGTGCAGTGGCGTGATCTCAGCTCACTGCAGCCTCCACCTCCCAGGTTCAAGTGATTCTCCTGCCTCAGCCTCCTGAGTAGCTGGGATTACAGGCATATGCCACCACGCCCAGCTAATTTTTTTGTATTTTTAGCAGAGACAGAGTTTTGCTATGTTGGCCAGGCTGGTCTGGAACTCCTGGCATCAAGTGATCCGCCCACCTTGGCCTCCCAAAGTGCTAGCAGGCATGAGCCACTGTGCCTGGCCTGAGCAGTCTGCTTTTGCTTTGACGGGACCCCTTCCGCCTCTTGGTAGCCACTGCTTAGGTTGTGCTTGTCTTCAGGATTGTACTGGTAGAGTTGTGTTCTGTCTCCTTTTACAGTTCTTCAAAGACATGCTCAGGATGTTGATTTCACTTGTTTAAAATTTCTACTGTGGAAATTTTAAATTTTACTGTGTAAAGCTCTGCCCTTGTCTGCAGCTGATCTGGGTGCAACAGTTTTGGCACCTATTGAGTGGAAACTTTGCTTAACTTTAGTTTTCACTCAGAATTGTGTAAGCTGAACCAAGAGAGATGTCTGTGTCCGCTCTTGTGCTGCTGTTAAACATTTGTCATCTTTAATTAGGGCACAAAGAAGATAAATTTTTTTCCCTGCAGATTGATGTGGATGGTGTGCCACAGAGGGCTTTATTCTCAACATTGTCTCATTCCTTCTAAAACAAGGTATCTATATGTAAACTGCTGATTTCTTTGGGGCATTACCCCCATAAATTTTGAAAAGCATTAATGGTTTCATCATTTTTCCACCTAAGTTTCACCATAAATTTGATGTTTGTTCTTGCTTCAATTTTAGCAGAATTCATGTTGCTCTGGTAGGAGCTGTTTTCAAACTGATATTTTATCCTTCTCAGTGCTCAAACTAAATCCTGTTCAGATGTGTTATAATAAGTTAGTATGAGTTTATTTTGGTGTCAAAAAATTGAAATCCATGCATAGTTTTAAAATAATATACATTTTCCATGAACTTTATGAAGACCCCTCATATACAGAGAGTTTAAGAATCAGAGTGTCTTCATACAACAGCAACACTGGAAGCTACAAGACAATGGATCAATGTCTTTAAAATCCCAAAAGAACAAAATTTAATTTCAGAGAAAACAAAGTTATACTAGAAAGGAAATATAACTAAAGTACAGTACATGGCTCAGCTGTGAATAATATTTCCAGTCATCCTGTGAACACTAATTGTTGAACCATACACATGTTTTGGTTAAACTTGGGGAATTAATACGGGATGGGAGACTTATATGGAGGAGGTACGTGTGCAAGAGCAAAATCTTTACCTGTCATAGTGGGAAGTCAATAGATGCCAGAATTAGAAACATGGAGGCAAATACTTGAAGAAACAGCTAGAATAATCTAGGTTGTCTCCCAGGAAATGGGGAGAGATGAGCCAAGTACTACAGTTTGTGGTGATAGACTATTTATGTGCTATTTGATGTTGATAGAAATAAACTTTAAAAACTAATGAGATCAAAATGTAGTGTGACACCTAGGATTGGGTACTAGAACAGAAACAAACAGAAAAACTGGTGAAAGTCAAATTGTTTCAAGTTTAATAGAGTAGTAAAGTGGGTTTTTTAGTTGTGACAAAGGCACTACAATAATAGAAGATGTTAACATTAGGGGAAACTGGGTGGGGAGTGTATAGGGACTCTGTATTATCTTTACAACTGTTTTGTAAGTTTAAAACTATTCCAAAATGGAAAGCTTATTAGAGAAGGCTCAGTATGGATGCTATCATACTACCGTGTAAATGGTGGATATTTCCTGAGCTGTGGGACACAAGAGGAAGAACAGGTTGTGGGGGTGGGATGGGGCAGGAGGAGAGGCTGGGCTCAGTTGTAGAGAGACTTGTGCCTGCAGGCACATGAGATGTCCTGTAGGCGGGACCACCAGGTTAGAGACAGAATAATGCACCAGCCCATGGATAATTGGTTGGGAGCAGATGGGATGTGTCTGTAAAATGTGTGTGAAATGAGAAGAGAAGAGGACTTAGGATAGAGCTCTAATGAATACCAAAAATATTGGGGAAAAGTGCAATTTTTACTGCTTGATTTTTGTTCCTAATTTTAGTTCTTTGTGTGGCTTATTTTTTATGAGACTGGTTGTTGAACCTCTAAATCATTTCATTCCCATCAAGAGCTAACAAACTAAGCTATGCAGAATTAATTGAGCGAAACTAGCCTTGTATGTCAGTAATAGGGAATGGTGTGGACTGTGGCAAGTGTGGGTGTTCTGCCCAAGGGGTCACTTCAGCTTCAGCTGATCACTGCCTGTAGGAATATGGCTCTACTGTTAATACATTTTCTTATTTTTCTAAGTGAGAAATCCAGGGTTTTATATGAAACATCTCAAGTTTTAAGTGTTGGCAATTAATTAGTTATTTTTAATGTTTGCTAATCAAACAGAACATCTTGACAAAAAGTGGCTTGCAGACCACTTGTTTGTTATTTCCGTTCTAATTCTTTCCTTTGAGTGTGGCCACTTTTCCATTTTTTTTTTTCCCCTGCCCCAAGCTGTTTTCTATACTTTGAATTTACACTACTCCAGTGGACCAGCAGCAAGGTATTTGAGGAGGCTGTTGACAAACTTGGACCAATGACATATTCCTACACAGCTCTGCTTATTAAATCCCCATGGCCCAGAAGGCACAGGCTTAGTAATGTGAATGGAATGGAATCTGCCAGACATTTAGCTCCTTCCTCAAAGGGACTTTATCTCATATTGTCCCTTGTATTTGATGCCCATATCATGGGGGACAGGGCCCAGTGTCCTGCCAAGTAAGACAGTGTGGCCCTAAGACCTGTTTGGCCTATTATTCTGGCCTGGAAGATTAATCTGCCAAAATTTGTTTTCACGTAGCCATGCAGCAACATAGTACGTTTTCCTTGCAGATATTTGCAAATGAATTTCCATCTCTACCATGCTGCTTGTGGTGAGGGCAAGAGCATCGCTTTTACTATAGTTATTAGAAGAGGAAAAACTCAGGCCCTCTCATAAAGTTTATCTGTAGTTTTCTAGTCTTGTATCTGTGCAGGTTTTTTTTTTTTTTAAGTGAAAAATCATAGTGGCTCTTTTCCAAGTTTCTCAAATTATCAATCTTCCATGAAGTCTTAGAAATACTAACTTATCCTGGAATGTATTTGGCCACTTTTCTGAGGGCCTCAACATGCAAGTTTGAAGGTGTAGATTTGGTTTTCCTCCCTCCCCTTCTCTCTGTGGCCTGATCAGAGTCTTTAGTCCATGTGTGTTTTTTTTTTTTTTTGGCATGATGTTATCAATCTCATGTTAAAAATTTGTCAAGAACATCTTTTTCTGGCTTCTAGTATAACCCAAGATGTTTTCTGGTTTATGCCTTTTGAGTTGCATCTCAGTTCTTTTTTTTTCCACTCTTGTTGCCACGGCTGGAGTGCAGTGGCGCGATCTCGGCTTACTGCAACCTCCGCCTCCTGGGTTCAAGCAATTCTCCTGCCTCAGTTTCCCTAGTATGCTGGGATTACAGGCACCCACCACCATACCCAGCTAATTTTTTTTTTTTGTATTTTTAGTAGAGGTGGGGTTTTGCCACATTGGTCAGGCTGGTCTCGAACTCCTGACCTCAGGTAATCTGCCTACCTCAGCCTCCCACAGTGCTGGGATTACAAGCATGAGCCACCGTGCCCGGCCGCATCTCCATTCTTGCTTTAACTTTTATGACAATGCTTTTTGTGGAATACCTTTTCTTCTTTTCCCTGTTGGTTGGCACCTTGGGATTTTTACATGTGCCTTTGAATGTCCTCGTATATTTTGCCTCTTTATCCTGGAGGCTTCTTGCTGGAAGGGTTGGTGTTTGTGACTCATCTTCACCCCAGGAATTCTAGGCTGTCTTGGAACCTACCATGATTATGTGTATATAATTCTTGCCTTATGTATTATAAACCTGATTAAGTTTGTAAAAATGAAAGTTTATGAGTATTTTTAGGGAGTCAACATAGTGCTGCGGAAGGATATGGAATATAGAATCAGAAAATTAGATGTTTTCTGTGAAATTTCTTACCTATAGCAAGTAGAGTAGGTCAATAAATCTTAAAATTTTCAAAATTTCAAAAATTTTGAGTTCAGATCTTCATTTTGCCTTTTATCGGCCACAGGACCTTGGGCAAGTCATGCCCCTTTTCTGAGCCTTGGCTTTGTTCTTTTGTTAAAAGAGATGCTGTCTCTACCTTGTTGAACGTATCAGGTTGTTATTTAGAATCAAATAGATTATGGGTAAGGAAATTCAAAATTAATGTCAATAAATTATATTCCTGCTGTTGTTTTTAAATATACTAAGGTACTTTGCTGTTTTAATAAAATATGAGATAAATGGTCACCTTACTTCAGTGAGTTTTCCTAAAGTTGCGACTAACTCTCCATTATCTGTAGTGAGAGGAAGGACAGAAAGAAATGTATAATTCTGAGCATCTGCTAGGTACTGGCCACTACTGAGGAGCTTTCACCCACATGAGCTCCTTGAGTCATCACAAACACAATTTGAGAAAGGCATTAGTTTTTGGAAATGAAGAAACTCAACAATGAGCAGAGGCTTTGCACGGGTACCCAGAACTTATGGGGGACCCCACTCTCATGACCTATCTAGGGCCCTTGGATGCCCATCAGCTGGCCTGGACACACTGAATCCAGGGTCCACCCTCACCTGTTTCTTTGCTTACTAGCAGTAATTCTAGCCCTTTGCCAGTCTTCCAGGAATGGAGCTGGTTTATGTTGGGACAAGAGGGTATTGCCTAGAGTGAACCTCAAAGCATCAGTGAATTGGAGGACACTAGTTGATCGGGGGATCTGTGGAGAAGCTATTAGTTCTAGGTCTTGTGTAGTTCTCATCCAGATGGGAGAATAGTAATTTGAGGAAGAGCTCAGATCCAACTCAGTATTTATGGAGTGCAGGATAGAGCTCCCCAGAGGAACCCAGCATTAAACGTAGCTAACTTTGCTAGAATAATTATTACACCCAGAATATTGATGGGTAGCTTTCTTTGATTTTCTATTTCTGGATTGAAGTACATTTTTCAAGGTGGGTTATCGATATCAGAGGTAGTCAGAAAGGAGTAGAGGTAGGGAAGATGTCTCTACGGAGAGAACAGAGGGAAAGACACAGTTTATTTTAAAAGCGTTGGCGGTAACTCTTTGTCATCACTTCTGTTTGCCTCTGTAAAGGAATTTGTGTCTCTTTGCTGAAGCACAGACAGGACAGAGTTTATGAATATGATATTTTGAAATACATATTTGGTCTTTGTCCTCCTTTTCCTGGTTTACAACTCCTAAAATCCTTGGAATCTGCAGAGTAATGTCGATGTCTTTTTGTATGTGAATGATTGACTGATAACTTCAGCATGGGACTGGTCACCAGAAACACAAAGCAAGATTGGAGGATTGGGCCTTTAGCCCCACTCCCCACCAGCCTAAGGTTAAGTTGATCACCAAATGGCCAATGGTTTAATCAATCATGCCTATGAAATGATGCCTCCATAAAAACCTAAGAGGACAGACTTGGAGAGCTTCCAGATAACCGAACACTTAGAAGTTCCTGGAGAGTGGTACGCCCAGGGAGGACACAGAAGCTCGGCACCCCCTCCCACATGCCTTGCCCTGTGCTTTTTTTCATCTGTGTCCCTTATAATAAACCAGGAAATGTAAGTGTTTCCCTGAGTTCTGTGAGCCACTCCATCAAATTAATCAAACCCAAGAGAGGGTCATGGGAGCTCCAACCTAAAGCCAGTCAGTCAGCGTTCTGGAGGCTTGGACTTGCGACTGGTGTCTGAAGTGGGGTGAGGGGGATGGGGAAGGCAGTTTTGGGGATAGCCCCCAACCTGTGGGATCTGACTCCATTTCCAGGTAGGTAATGTTGGAATAGAATTAGAGGATACCCAGCTAGCGTCTGCTGTAGAATTAATTGTTTGTTTACTGATGGGGAGAAATCCCTATATATTTTGGGCTCACAGAAGTCTTCTGTATTGATTGTTGTGTGGTGTGAGGGCAGAGGAAAAATGATTTGAGTTTTTCTTAACAGAATCTAATCCAAATCTAGGAGAGACTTTCAGTTTGGTGATAATGAGCTCTGGAGAAAACACAGAAACAAGTTAATATCCTAAGCCCTTTTATTCCAGGGCTATGTTTTCACCAAAGCTCTGTTATTATTTCCTACCTGATCCTTCAGTATCAGCATTCCCCAGGGACTTAACCCCAGTGGATGTCTCTCTGAGCAGCTTCCTGTCTTCCCATGGTTCCAGCCATCCTCTGTATGCCAGAGACTCTGAATTCTGCATGTCCAGATCCACACCGCAGCATGGTCGCACACAGAATCCTCTGTCTTGTCTGCCAGGCGTGCTCTCCTAGTGTGCCCTTGTGGATCCCAGCGCCCTCCACCTCGTTGTCTAAGCTGGAAACCTGGTTATCATCCTTGACTCCTCCCTCTCTCTCACCTCTGTGCCATTGCAAGGCCTATTCTCTCAACCTTGCGTTTTCCTTCTTAAATCAAGTCTCTGCTCTTTCCATAGCTACTCTTCTAGTCTAGCCCTTGCTGTTGCTCCTGTGGGTTCTTGCCCCCCCCCCCCCATCTGTGTCCACAGCCCTTGCTCCCTTGAGCTCCTTCTACCTACCACCAGAATTATCCATCAGAAACACATAACTGGTCATGCCACTCCTTTGATCTGAAGCATGCAATGACTTTCCTACATTTCTGTGATCAAGTCCCCAAGTCTGACCTAGCAGTCAAGGTGCTTAGCTGTGCCTCTGCTGGCCTCATCCTAGCTTTCCTCAAGGAAGAGACGCTCACCTCTGCTGGAGGCACAGAGCCTTCCTCCCCATTTGCAGAACACTCACAGCTTCATCCCTCTGTGCTTTGTTTAGAATGGTCCTTCTACTTAGAAGGCACTTTCCCCCTTCCTCTGCCCCAGGAAAGGTGTCTATTGACATCCATTCAGATGTCATTTTCTTCTCTGTTCTGATTGGCTCTTCTGCCTCCCCAACCACTTTTCTCTTCCTCCCTGTCCTCCCCCTCCCCCTCTGCATCTTCCTCCTCCTTCCTTCTACGTGTCCATACCCACCTCTAGGCCAGGACCTCCCCGAGGTCCAAGAGGAGGAGTGTTGTTGTTAATGATATCTCCCTTAGCATCAGTGTCAAACTGTGTGCTTGGGAATGTCAGGGGAATGATGGAAGCTGAGCACTGAGCCAGGCACATGGGCTTGGCGCTTTCTCGTTGGCGTTGTCATATTAATCCTGATTAAACTTAAACATAAGCAGCCACAGCCAGGTGGTTGTAAGGGCTTTAGAGCCATTGTTTGGCTCTGTTTTTGTGTGATGAACTGGCTTTCTCACAACCCACATTTTGCTAAGAGCAGAGGCGCTCAGCACTGGACTTCTTAAGCCAGCCAGCTGTCATTGCCAGGAAAGCGTCCCTTCAGGAAGGGTCTGGCTTGCAGAGGCTGTGAACCCTTTCAGGTGCTGAGTATGGGCCCGAGGGACTACAGCCTGAAAGCACATTAGGGACGAGGGACAGAGAAGGTTCCCATGAGCTTGGTCTTGAGCAGATGTACCTGCAGTGTTGGGGAGCATGAATGGAGTCTTACTTCACATGCACCAGGGGAACTTGTTATTTATTTATTTTTTTATATATTTTTTATTATTATACTTTAAGTTCTAGGGTACATGTGAACAATGTACAGGTTTGTTACATATGTATACATGTGCCATGTTGGTGTGCTGCACCCGTTAACTCGTCATTTACATTAGGTATTTCTCCTAATGCTATCCCTCCCCCCTCTTCCCACCCCACGACAGGCCCTGGTGTGTGATGTTCCCCACCCTGTGTCCAAGTGTTCTCATTGTTCAATTTCCACCTATGAGTGAGAGCATGCAGTGTTTGGTTTTTTGTCCTTGCAATAGCTTACTCAGAATGATGGTTTCCAGCTTCATCCATGTCCCTACAAAGGACATGAACTCATCCTTTTTTATGGTTGCATAGGAACTTGTTATTTAAAGGAGCCCTGCTGTGGATTGTTTTGCAAGGGTAAGGAGGCTTCTTTACCTTAAACAATCGCCGACTGCTCTCTCTGGGCTAGGTGGATAATATCCTGTGAGTTCAGGGCCCATTACCTCTGCAGAATGTTCTTGCCTGTCTCTTTTAATGACTGAAAGCTAGAAGCCAGCAGATCCTTGTAGAAAGGAGGAGTGCAGTTTTGTTGTTTTCTCTTTACAATTGAGTACCTTGGGGTTTTGCCAGATAGATTTTCCTCTTGCCTTTTTTTTTTTTTTTAAATGAAAAGCTTTCCTGGCAGATGTTGGAGAGCCACTTCTAGGGCATTGATAGTTACCAAAAAAAGACCCTGGCTTCCTTTCCCCATCAGCTGACTGTGCATTTCCCTGCCCCACATCTGTGCTGTCATCCACAGAAGGCTGAGCCTGCAAGTGCCTGCTCTGATGTGGCCCTGGCCTTTGCCTGCAGAACCCCCGCTCCCCACCCCAGCACAAGTCTGTCCAGCAGGGCACAGTCCATGAGGGGCTATCAGCTGCTTTCCACCTGGACTGTTCATAGCCTTGTTTTCACTCTCCCTCTGCTGAACCTGATGCAGTTACTAGCTCCGTAGGTAGCACTCGAGGCCCTTTGAGACCTGGCGGCCTCTGAACTTTACTCTTGTCCTTCATGACTTCCTGCCTCAGCCTGTCTTCCCCTCTTCTGCCCAGGACTGTGGTGTCTCTGTGTGTCTGTTACTCTTTGCTGTCAGCCCTGAATGTCTTCTTCTTACCCCTTCTTCTTCCCCATTTTCTATTTGAAATTCATTCTTTCTGGGTTAGGCTACATACCACCTGGGGGCTATAGAGTGTGCTGAGGACAGTCTGAAAAGCCTAGGTTCAAATCCTGATTTGGCCACTACCCAGCTGTCTTTGCACAGTTTAGCACCTCCCTCAGAGCCTCTTTCCACACAGAGTTGGGTGATGGCCGCAGCCATGTTGGGACTGAGTGAGGGGCCTGTAAAGCAAAGTCTGGCAGGGGAAGTGTCACAGTGTTTTCCTCCTCACTTTTTTTAGGTAGCTCTTTCTGGTCTTCCTAACTAGACAGACTCTTTTCCTCCTCTTAATGTTTATGCATTTGGTAGCCCTAAATTAGGTGGAAATCAGTATTTTCCACCTTTTAAATAATTATTTGCAGATGAGCTTCTCTTCTTCCTCCATAAATATACTTTGGCAGCATTTGACTTTTGTCTCCCACAAGGCCGAGCCCAGTCCCTTGCTGGGGTTCTGTGCTCTGTAAACTCCTGCAGAGTTGTGAGCGTTCCACCCAGAAGTTCTAAGTCTCCCAGAGGTGACCGGATCCCCTCAGTGACAGACAGCCTGCTTCTCTGCCTTTCATTTGTTTGTTACCTGCACTGGTTTTGATTCTATATTAAAATTTATTTTTTAAGAGGAAATCAGCGAAGGCATATGGAGTGATGGCCTGTCTGTGTGGGGCCCAGTATTCTGTAATAGGAATCACCATGGCAACATGGTAGCCTTCACATTTCTCCAGTTAAGAAGATGAACTCTCCTGCCCACAGAGGCTGAGTGGATTGGCCACCATTACCTAGTGCCGCAGGTCTCTTCCTGAAAGGCAGTGGGCCTCATTACCAAGGACCGTTTCTCAGCAGGGGATCATCAAACAGCAGTCCTGGCCCTTTGCATCTCCCCATCATCTGATTCTGTTGTCTGTGAAATCTCGGTTCCTCCTGCAACAGGCCTCATGGCATTGGCAGTGGGTTTAAAGCAGGCCTGATGTGAGCAGCTGACTGGGACAGCGGCTGGTGGGGCTGTGGTGTGCATGCCCACTGCATCTGCTCCTAGGCCTACGTGGCAACTGTGGAGGGATGAGTGAATGTTTGCTAAGGAGCAGTGCAGCAGGTCAGCTTGAAGCTGCCAGAATGATAGCAGCAGCCCCTGTTGTATCTTATAGGGGCCTCCGCTTCCACTGGCTGTCCCCACCCCATGCATTCTATGGGTGACAGACACTTGCTTCCTTTCTGTAAACCAGCCCATACTCTAAACTCCTGCCACACTGCTTCATGATGGAAAGGCGGGGTTGTAAGCTCCTGGTTTCTGGCTTTTTTTCCAGATTGTTTGGTAACAAACTATGCTGAGACCAGGGGCAGGCACAGTAGGCCTGAATTCTGACAGCCACCCAGGAGTGCACAGCCGCTGTTCTCTGAGCCCATCAATCCCAGATTGGTATGTGGGACTTATTGCTGGGCAGCTTGACCTTCCTTGCCCACTGTCTAATATCAGAGTGCCTTGCCAGCCAGGTTTCTGGATGCTGTATGAAGGTAACATGGTGGAATCTGGCAAAGCTAGAAGATTCTTTGCAAAGAAAAAGACTTGTTCACCTCTTAGGTCCTTCCTATGAGGAGGCTATGCATGCAGCAGTATGACAGTCCTGAGTGTCCTATCCCTCAGCGTCAGACCGTAGTTCATAGCCAGGCAATGACTGCCATGGAGGTATGGAAGCCAGCTGGCCAAGCCTTCACAGCCCTCCAGAAAACTGCTGTCCTATCCTTAGCCCTCAGCATCTGTGAGTTGACTGAGATGATCAGTGGCCACACCTGGTAGAAGACTCTTGGCAAATAGGTCTCTAAATGGACGTCTGGCTGCATGTCAGCATTTGCTTTTGATGGTATGCACACAGCGGGGATTGGACCTACAAGCCCTGGAGTCACTGTGGCGTAGAGAACATGGAAAGGCAGCATGCCTGGGTTAAAATTCTGGCTTTCAAGATTACGGGACTTTGCTCTGAAGGAGAATTCTCTGCTAATAAGGAAATTTTCGGAAAAACTGACTGAGGGAGCCTGGGAGGCTTTTGTCTGGTCAGCTGTCTGGGCTTTGTTTCATCATAGGAAACTGTAGCTTAGTGGGAAGAACCAGCTTCAGAGGCAGACCTGGGTTCAAATCTCAGCTCTGCTACTTACTGTATATTCTTGATGGGCTCTCATTGATGCCTCTAGAGGCCATAACTATCCTGTCCCATGCCATGACCTATTTTTTTCCAGGAAACTGCCCATCTCCACTAGAGACACTTACTGTAATGGGAGCTGTATTTTCTTTCTTTGGCCTCTCTGGCCACAGTGGTTGGTCAACATATTCTTTTAATATGTATTTTATTGAGGTATAACAGTAAACATGTAAATTTTAAGTCACCAGGTCTGCACATCTTTACATAGGTGTAATCACAGCCTCTTTACATAGGTGTAATCATGACCTGGATCAAGATATAGACCATTTCTAGAATCACATAAGGTTCCTGAGGACCCTCTTCTAATCATTACTCTCCAAAGAGAACCGCTACTTGGACCTCTGCTGCCATGGATTGGTTTGCCTGCTCTTGCGCTCTGTGGACTTGGAAGAATACAGGACAGTGTTCCTGGCTTTCTGGTTTTTCTGGCTCTCTGTGACGTCTGTGAGGTTCACCCATGTATTTAGCAGTAGTTTGTTCTTTTCCATTGCCGTATAGTATTTCCTTGCCTGACTATACCACAATTTATAATGCTGCTATGAATATTTGTGTGTGTGTGTTTTGGTGGACATAAGCCTTTACTTTTATTGAGAAAGTAAAGACTCAGAAGTACAATTGCTGGGTCTCAGAGTATATGCGCTTTTAGCTTTAGTGGATACTGCTGAACATTTTTCTGAAGTGGTTATATCAGTTTACTTTCCCTCCAGTAATGTACTCCACATTCCTACCACCATTTTCTGCTGTCAGTTGTCTTAATGTTCACTATTCTAGTGGAGATGCAGTGTACTGTTCATTGTTTTTAGTATATTCGCAGAATTGTGCACCAGTAACCATTCTCTAGTTCCAGAGTATCTTTACATCACTCCCCAGAACCCCATGCCCATCAGCAGTAATTCCCCCTCACCCTTCAGCCCTAACCCATGGAAAGCATTGCTGTATTTTCTGTATCTGTGGATTTGCCTATTCTGGACATTTCATGTAAATATTTAAGGCCATACAATATGTGGCCTTTGTGGTTGGCTTCTTTCACTAAGCATAATATTCTCAAGGTTCATCCATATTGTAGCATGTATCAGTGCTTTATTCCTTTTGATGGCTGAATAATATTCTGTTGTATAGATAGACCACATTTTATTTTTTCCATTTGCCAATCGATGGACATTTGGGTTGTTTAAGAACATTTAAAATGAGTTTTAGTTGGACATATATTTTTAATTCCCTTGCATGTTAATTTCTCAGTAGAATTACTCAGATATATGATAATGCTGGAGTGCAGTGGCACAATCTTGGCTCATTGCCTCTGCCTCCTGGGTTCAAGCAATTCTCCTGCCTTACTGAGCCTCCCGAGTAGCTGGGATTACAGGTGCCCACCACCCCTGGCTAATTTTTTGTATTTTTAGTAGAGACGGGATTTCACTATGTTGGCCAGGCTGGTCTCAAACTCCTGACCTTGCAATCCACCTGCCTTGGCCTCCCAAATTGCCAGGATTACAGGCATGAGCCAGCACACCTGGCCTATGATAACTCTTAAGTTTAAATTTTTGAAGAACTGCTAGACTGTTTTCCAAAGGAGTATATGACGGTTCCAGTTTCCCACATCCCACCTCATGCTTGTTCTTGTCTGTCTGTTTGATTATAACTAATCCCACCTCATGCTTGTTCTTGTCTGTCTGTTTGATTATAACTATTGTAGTGAGTGTGAAGTGGTATCTCATTGTGGTTTTGATTTGCATTTCTCTAAGGTTAGTGATACTGAACATCTTTTCATGTGCTTATTGACCATTTATATATCTTCTTTGAAGAAATGTCTATTCAATTCCTTTGCCCATATTAGTTTATATGTCTTTTTATTTCTGAGTTGGAGAATTTTTTATATGTCCTGGATACAAGTTCCTTATTAGATACATAAATATTTTCACTCATTCTATGGGGTAACTTTTTGCTTTCTTCATGGTGTGTTTTGAAGCACAAAGGTTTTTAATTTCGATGAAATTCAACTTACCTATTTTTTCTTTGGTTACTTGTGTTTTTGTAAAACACGTATCTATAAAAATCCATTGCCCAGTTTAAGGTCATGAAGAGGGATTCCTGTGTTTTATAAAGCTTTATAATTCTAGCTGTTACATTTGGGTCTTTAATCCATTTTGAGTTAGTTTTTGTATATGGTGTGAGGTTGGGGTCTAGTTTATTTCATTTGCATATAGAAATTCAGTTTATTAGCATCATCTGTTGAAAAGACTATTTTTTTCCTCTCATTGTGTGGAATTGGCACCTTTGTTGAAAATCAATTGAATGTAAATATAAGGGTTGATTATATTTATTTTTGGACTCAGAATTCCAGTCCATGTATCTCTATGTCCTTATGCCAGTACCACACTGTCTTGATTACTGGACTTTATAGTAAGGCTTGAAATCAAGAGATGTGAGTCCTCTACTTCTGTTTATTTTCCCTGACAATTTAGATTATTTGGGATTCCTTGAAATTTTCTATGGATTTTAGGATGGATTTTTCTATTTCTGAAAAACAAAAAGGCAGCTGAGATTTTGATAGGAAATGTATTGAATCTGTAGATCAGTTAAATCTTTCTCATTTAGGTCTCTGATCACTGTGAATTAAATTTTATATAAGTATTAGGTAGGAATATCAATTTTTATTAAAACAATCATTCCTCACCGAATTGCAGGAGGGCCTTTGTCATTAATCACTTGACTCTGTATGTGTGGATTGTTTCTAGACTGTGTCTAGTTCAAATGATCTGTGTTAGTAACACTCTTTATTAATTATTGTAGCTTTATGGTAGTTGTAATTATCTTGTATATCTTGTATATTCATCCCTTTTTTTTTTGAGGCAAGGTCCCACTCTGTCACCCAGGCTGGAGTGCGGTGGCATGACTGTGGCTCACTGCAGCCTCAGCCTCCCAGGCTTAGGCAGTCCTCCCACATCAGCCTCTTGGGTAGCTGGGACTACAGGCACACATCACCACACCCTGCCAGTTGTTTTGTTTTGTTTTGTTTGTTGGTAGAGGCGGTATCTCCCTGTGTTGCCCAGGCTGGTCTCAGACTCCTGGGCTCAAGTAATCCTCCCACCTCGGCCTCACAAACTGCTAGGATTACAGGCGTGAGCCATCACACCTAGCCAATTTTGTTTTGTTTAAATCAAAATTATCTTGTCTTTTCTAGGTCCTTTGTATTTCTGTATCAATTTCAGAATCAAACTTGTCAGATTAACATCTATAGATCAATTTATAGATCAATTTGTAGAGAATTGACAACTTAGCAATCTTGAGTCTTTCAGTTCATTATATGTATATCCATTTGTGCAGGTCTCTTCAACAATGTTTCATATATTTCTCTGTAGTGATCTTAGATATTTTTTGTTATATTTATTCCTAAGGGTTTTATTTTTGGATGCTAATGAAAATACTATTGCTTTTAATTTTTTATTTCTTGTTAGTATATAGGAATATAATTGATTTTTATGTATTGACTTTGATAAATTGACTTACTAGTTCATGTATTGTGTAGTTCTTAAGTTTTTCTACATATATAGTCATGTCATCTAAAAGTCCTATCAATTTTACTTTTTTTCTTCCATTCTAAAGGTTGGAATTTTAAGAATTCCATTTCTTACCTTGTTCCACTGGCTGGAACTCCAGTACAGTTTTGAATAGAAGTTATTATAGTATGGCCAGGCATGGTGGCTCACGCCTATAATCCCAGCACTTTCAGAGGCCGAGGCAGGAGGATTGCTTGAGCCCAGGAGTTTGAGACCAGTTGGGCAACATAGCAACACCCTATCTCTACAAAAACAAAAACAAAAACAAAAACACACACACACACACCCACATTATCTGGGTGTGGTGGCACGTGCCTATAGTCCCAGCTACTCAGGGTGCTGAAGCAGGAGGTTCACATGAGTCCTGGAATTTGAGGCTACAGTGAGCTATAATCGCCACACCACTGCATTCTAGCCTGAGTGACAGAGTGAGATTTTGTTTCTAAAAAATAAAAATAAAAAATAATTATAGTGCATATTTTTCTCTTAATTGTGGACATAAGAGGGAAATGTTCAATATTTCATCATTAATTATGTTGTTAGCTGGTAGGTTTTTTTAGATACTCTATCGAATTTCTGTTCCCAATTTCTATTGCTGAGAGTTTTATCAAATGCTGGTTCTTAAATCTTTAAGAACCAACATTTGGCCGGGCACAGTGGCTCAGGCCTGTAATCCCAGTACTTTGGGAGGCTGAGGTGTGCGGATCACCTGAAGTCGGGAGTTCGAGACCAGCCTGACCAACATGGAGAAGCCCCGTCTCTGCTAAAACTACAAAATTAGCTGGGTGTGGTGGTGCGTGCCTGTAATCTCAGCTACTCGGGAGACTGAAGCAGGAGAATCGCTTGAACCCGGGAGGCAGAGGTGGCAGTGAGCCGAGATCAAGCCACTGCACTCCAGCCTAGGTGATAGAGCAAGACTCTGTCTCAAAAAAAAAAAAAAAAAAAAAGTCAAATGTTGGTTTTATTTTTGAGACGGACCTTCACTCTTGTTGCTCAGGCTGGAATGAAATGGCACGATCTCGGCTCACCATAACCTCTGCCTTACAGGTTCAATTGATTCTCCTGCCTCAGCCTCCTGAGTAGCTGGGATTACGCCACCACACTTGGGTAATTTTTGTATTTTTAGCAGAGACGGGATTTCACCATGTTGGCCAGGCTGGTCTCGAACTCCCAATCTCAGGTGATCCGCCCACCTCAGCCTCCCAAAGTGCTGGGATTACAGGTGTGAGCCACTGTGCCCGGCCTGACTTTCTTGATTTTCTTAATTGTACACTTATTTTCTATGTCATTGATTTGTATCCTTTACTATTTATTGTCTTCTATTCTCTTTGGCATTATTTTGCTGTTCTTTTTCTAACTTCTCAAGGTGGGAACTTAGATTGATTTTAAACCATTCTTCTCTAGTATAGTCTTTTAAGGCTATAATTTTTCCTTTAGGCACAGCTTTTGCTTTTTTCCACAATTTGGTATATCACATTTTCATCATTTACCTCAAAATATTTTCTAATCTATTTTGATTTTTTTTTGAATTTGAGGTATATATTATTATGTGTATACTGCTTCTAGTGTGGGGACTTTTATAGTTACATAGCTATCTTTCTGTTATTTATTTCTAGTTTAATTTCATGGTACTTAAATAATATACATTGTATGATTTCAGAGAAATGTGTTGGGATGTATTTTATCATAAGGCCTTGTATATGCTCTGTTCTGGAAAATGTTCCATTGCGCTTGAAAGTAACGTGATTTTGTTTTTACAGTTGTTGGTTGTAGTGTTCTGTATATGTCAATTCGGTTGACTTGATTGTGTCATTCAGATTTTCTCTTTTTCTTACTTTTTTTGGTCTGCTATCAGTCACAGAGTATCCAGTCTTCATTTATGTTTGTGGGTTTGTCCATCCGTTCTGTCAACTTTTACTTTAAATAATAAATATGCAAATAATTATTAGATGTATATAAATCTGGGACTCTATATATTTGTGCCAAAATGATTCTTTTGTCTTTGTAAAATATCTTTCTTTATCTCTAGTGATACTTCTTCCCTTAAAGTCTACTTTAATGTTAACTTTACTACTTTAACTTTCTTTTAGTGTTTGCATGGTGTATCATTTTCCATCCTTTTTTCACCTTCTCACGCTCTTTATAGTTAAAGGTGTATCTCTTGCAGATAGCATATAACTTGTCTTTCTCTTCTTTTCAATTTGGTCTAACAACCTGTGGGTTACCATTTCCAGAACGATGCAACAAACACGTTTACTCTTTCCACTGCTGTTTATTTCTTTCTAGCAATTCTGTGCTTCCAGTTGTCATCATTTTCTTCTCTCTGAAGGACTCTTTCCAAATTTTTTGTAGTGTTCTATCATCCCACAGGATGTCTCCTTTCATAATTCTAGATTTTGGTAGACCTGCTAATAAAAATACTCAAGAAGTAATCTCCACAGAAACTTCCCCCTTCATCAAATGAAGTAGCCGGGTAAAGCCTTTATTTGAATGATTCAAGGTAACACCAATACTAAGATATTCCAGAAGAGGATTTGGCTTCTCAAACAAGTCTTGGTTTTATTTTCTCTTGCATGGACATAATTCCATTGTCCAGGGCTTAGAAAGGCTGATGTGATGGGTGGAAATATATTATTGGAGACCAGTTTATAAGTGGTGAGTTCCTTGGTGAAAAGTTTTTATGATGATGCCTTTTACCTATGCAGTCTTATAAATACAGTCATGTGTGGATTGTGAGTATTTGGACAGCAAGGACCCAGGAGGAAGCTTTTATCTTCATATTTGGCAGTAGCAAGTATTCAGTAAGTAGAGAGAAGGGGTATTTTCATATTCTGAAGGCTAGCTATTGGTAAGTTCCCTTTCCTGTTTTGTGTGTGAGGAGACACTAATAGTCATTGCCTTGTATTTGCCTACCATTATGTTAGGCTCTCTGTGTGTGTTATATAATTGTGTCCTTGTAATGGCGGCAGAAGGAGGCATCATTATTTCCCTGAGTTAGATGGGGAAACTGAGGCCTAGAGAGATTGTCACTTATGTAGGATCTTATATATATATATCTAATAATAAAAGTGGAGACTAGAGACCATGTCCTTTGACTCCTAAACAGATGTTTGTCACCACACTGTGTTGACACTAGGAATCTACTACTAAGGCCTCCTTTTTGGCATGACCCCGAGCTTCAACATCCACAGTGTGGCCAATTTTTGCAGAATTAGGACAAGATCCAGCCAGTGACTACGGTGGTAGTGGAAACTGAGAGTTCTCTGGTCCACAGAAAGGATGTGTGGGCCTGAGGGACCAGGGAAGGCTGCCAGAGGAAATGAGACCTGAGACTTGGAGAGTAAATAGGAATTAACAGGTGAAGGATGTTTGTGGGGGGCCACAGGGAGGAGAGAACCAAGTAGGAGGAAGCTATGGTGTGCCAGGAGGTGAGAGCAAGAATTTGGCATGTCAAAGGATGCCAAAGAAGTTGGAGGCAAGGGGGAAGAATGACACTGGAGAGGTGAGCAAGAACCAGATTCTTTAGGCTCTCAAAAGCCATTTTAAGAAGGCTTGGACCTTATTCTCTGGGCATTGTGCAACTATTGAAGGCTTCATGCAAGGAAATGACACAATCAGATGTGTGTCCTGGGAATATTATTCTTGCTGCAGTATGAGGAGTGTTCCAGAGCACAGAGAGGTTGGAGGATGAAAGCAGTTCCAGGCTGCCATGCGTCATCTGGGAGACAGTTGATGTGGCCTGAGCCAGAATGAATGATGGGAAATAGAAAGAATGATTCAGGAGTGTGTAGCAGGAAAAGTCCACATGAGGTTGCCTTGGTGGAGGGAAGGATGGAGGGCCCATCTGACTGCCCAATCAGCCTTGTGCTGCAGCAGCCCTAGGGTGCCTTCCAGGAACACAGTTCCAGAAACAACCTGGTGTGGCTTGGGGATGTGGGGTTAGGGCTTCACCTTCTTTAACCTTTCTTGGGCTCTGACATGGAGAACCTGTGAAGTCTTCTGAGATGCCACTGTCATCTGGGATCTTTCACCATGTGCCAATCACTATTGTTGTTACAAAGTTAGAGGAGAATGGGATTTTTGAGCAAGAAAAAGATATAGATGAATGGTTGTGCTGTTAATTGAGCCTGGAAAGTAAAGGAGAACAAGCTTTCATCCCAGCAAGGTGGGGCAGGGGTGGAGTGGAGGGAGGCTGCAGAAAATAAGCCAGAGAGTTTGTTCTCTTCAGGGTCTGGCCCAGAGCACATGTTCAGAAATGTCAAATTCTTGCTCCCTTCTCATGGCACACTGTAGCTTCCTCCTATTTGGCTCTCTCCTCCCTGTGCCCCTCTGAACATCCTTCACCTATTAACTCCTATTTATTCTTCAAGTCTCAGGTCTCGTTTCTTCTGGGAAGCCTTTCCTGGTCCCCTTCTGCAACTCCTTGGCCTTGTCCCTCTCTGTCTCTTCGGTGCATCCTCCTCTCCTTCCCACCATGACGATTGGGCTCCCCAAGCTTACATCCTCAGCCTCTCTCTTTGAAGACTGTGTGTTTTCCCTGGAAATTTCATCTTACCTCGTGGTTTCAGTTATCTTCTGTAAGCTAAGGACTCTGCCAAAGCTCTACCCTACGAAACCAGTGGTGCACTTCACATCTTCTCTTGGATGCTCCACAGGTCCCAACAACTCAACCTTGGCTGATTCTCTTCCCACTGGCTTCAGTGCTGTACTCCATGTCCCTGTTTTTTGTCCTGACTGGGGATGCCCAGGCCTCCAGTATCAGTTGGAGTTCTTTGGTTGGAAACAACAGAAATCAGCTCTGGCTAACTTAAGTAAAAGGGAGTGTGTGAGGGAACACGGGAGGCTCCCGGAACTGACGCAGCTGGCAAATCAGGCCTGGACAGAGGCCACTCTGAAATCTGGGAAGCAGGGCTTCTGTGTTGCAGGCCCGTCCTGTCGGATGGGACAGGACACCAGTGGTTTATCTCTGGGGCCTCTGCTTATGATTGCCCTCAAGGGAGTCCATGTGATCTTTGGTGAAGGAGGAACATCCTGTTTTGGAGGGGGAATGTATGTTGGCATTAGAACATTTTAAGTGTTTATTCCAGTACCCCTTCAGTCCAGGGTCTACCTGCCTTTCAGGAGAGGCCCTCCTCAAAGTCATCTTAGCAGCTCTGCTCCCAGGAGGCTGCACTATTTGTACCACTCGGTAATGTCCCCCCTTTCATTCCAGCTGTTGATCATTGCGTTCCCCTTTTTGTTTTGCTCATTCTGGCTAGGAATTTATAAATTTTGTTGATCTTTTCAAAGAACCAATTTTTGACTTTATTTTTTTCCTATTGTTTGCTTTTGATTTCATTGATTTCCACTCCTATGTTTATTACTTCTTTTCTTCTGCTTACTTCGGGTTTAATTAGCTGGGGTTATTTCCTAAACCTTCTTAAAGTGAAACTATAAATCATAGATTTGGCACCTTCTTTTCTAATATAGAGGTTTAAAGCTGCCAAATTCCCTCTAATGACCGTTTTTATTGCATACCACAAATTTTGCCCTATATGTATGTAGTTCAGTGATCAGCCAGAGATTAGGGCAGAGTTTCTATGCAGGTTGTGGAACTCTCCTTTCTGGGGAGTTCCCCCTCACTCTCCAGATGCTGCACCATCCTCAGACTCAGATTTCTGGTTTTCTGTTTGATCTCTAGCCTCCCAATGTGGCACCAAATGAAGCCAGCTCTTAGGTAAGACCCATAAAAACAGGAAACTCACCTGGTACTATTTCCTGCTCCCACATATCAGCTCTCCTCCAACTTCTGCTTGCCTTTGGTCATTTTCCAGGGCCTTTAGAGGGTTGTTTTTTATATTTTGTCTAGAATCTATCACTTATTTCTGCAGGAGATGTTATGGACTGAATGTTTGTGTCCTGACAAAATTCGTATGTTGAAGCCCTAATCCTCAGTGTGATGTACATGGAGGTGGGGCTTTGGGAAGTCATGAGGGTGGGGCCTCCATGGTAGGATTAGTATCTTTATAGGAATTAGAAAAAACAAGAGTTCTCTTGCTCTCTTTCTCTCTATCATGTGACGACAGAGCAAGAAGGTGGCTGTCTGCAAGTAGGAAGAGAGCCCTTACCAGACATCAAATCTGCTGGCACATTGATCTTGGACTTTCACACCTCCAGAATTGTGATGAAATAAATGTTTGTTGGCTGGGTGCGGTGGCTCACACCTATAATCCCAGCACTTTGGGAGGCCAAGGCAGGTGGATCACCTGAGGTCAGGAGTTCAAGACCAGCCTGGCCAACATGGTGAAACCCTGCCCCTACCAAAAATAGAAAAATTAGCTGGGTGTTGTGGCACGCACATGTAGTCCCAGCTACTTGGGAGGCTGAAACAGGAGAATTGCTTGAACTCAGGAGGCAGAGGTTGCAGTGAGCCGAGATCGCACCACTGCACTCCAGCTTGGGCCACAGAGTGAGACTCTGTCTCAAAAAATAAATAAATTAAATAAATAAATAAATCATGTTTGTTGTTTAAGCCTCCAGTGTGTGGTGTTTGTGGTAGCAGCCTGAGCTAAGAGGAGGGCTGGTGTGGGAGGAGTTCTTCTGCCATGTGGAAAGTGGACACTTCACTGTTCATGCTAGTGTTGGCCACCTCGTGTCATTATATGCCACTGGGCCCCACCTGGATTGTGAAGACTAAAAGGAGGCCTCTGGATCTTATGCCTCTTTAGAGCCTCTTAGGGTGCACTTAGTGAAGGGTTGCAGGCATTTTTAGCCAGGCTTTCACCCTGTGGCTTCAGCTGCCATGCACCCTGCATGCCTGGGGAGACCCACAGTCCATCTTCCTCCTGGGTGCCTCTTGCTGGAGACCTCAGGTGCCCTGTGGGCAGCACGATCACAACAGAACTTGCTGTCTTCCTCGCCCCCTGCTCTACCAGTGTTCTGTTCACCTTTCTTTGGGGTAGAAACCTTCTTCCTCATACTTTAATTCCTCTTCATAAAGGAGCCTCTTTACGGCTGCTACTTGGGTTTCCGGTCTCATTGTGTCTTGTCTAAACCATGTGTTGTCCGCACGGTTTTCTTATCCTCATCTCTTGCAGTCTACTTTTAACATGGACAGAGACTGGCCTTAGGAAGAGGCAGTGCTGGATATTCATGTCCTTTGGTGAAACTCTGAGTGTCCCTCTGTTACTCAGAGGACAGCATCCAGATCCCTGACCGGATGTTTGGGGTCCTGTGGGTGTTGGCTCACCTGCCTTTTCTGGCCTCATTCCCTGTCACTCCTCACTCACTCTCGGCTCCAGCAAAGCAGCAGCGCAGCTGCTCACAGGACAGCACCTAAGTGTACCAGGGCCTGCTCGGGGGCCGCACCCTGTGTGCTTTGCCCGCTTCTCTCCTGGGCGGCCCTGCCAGTCTTCTTTTTTTTTTTTTGAGACATAGTCTCACTCTTTTGCTCAGGCTGGAGTGTGGTGGCGCAATCTCAGCTCACTGCAAGCTCCACCTCCCGGGTTCACGCCATTCTCCTGCCTCAGCCTCCCGTGTAGCTGGGACTACAGGTGCCCGCCACCATGCCTGGCTAATTTTTTTTGTATTTTTAGTAGAGACAGGGTTTCACTGTGTTAGCCAGGATGGTCTCGATCTCCTGACCTCTTGATCCGCCCACCTCGGCCTCCCAAAGTGCTGAGATTACAGGCATAAGCCACCGTACCCGGCCAGCCCTGCCAGCCTTTAACTAGCGTGCTGCCTCCTCTCCAGGCCTCACTCAATCCTTCTAAGGCAGTGTTGGGCAAGCTTGCCTCTTCTGCCACCTCTGTGATATTTTAAGTGCTGTATTGCAATTAGTTTTATGTCTCTCTCCTCGATGTAAGTGATGAGTGGAGACCTTGTTTCATCTATCTCAGTGCCCACAACACCTTGTACACAGCAGGGCTCAGCAGAACACGCTTAAATTAACAGAGGTCTCTCCTGGGGCTGTAGGCGATCAGCCCCAGGCTGATATCTGGTGCGGTGGAAAATGTGCGTGTTTACGGTTGGACTCAGAAGATGGGCCCTGTGTCCCCCAGGCTGGGAAACAGGCTCATACTCAATATGTGTGCTTCAGAATTGTTCTAAATTTCCGTGCGAAAGGGGAGACTCTGCCAATACTGAAGAAGGGAAAACTCAAGCCATCCTTTACCCCCAACTCCTGCCATCAAGAAGAAGAGTGTGTTTGGTTTAATGTCCAGATGAGAAGATCGTTGGTCTCAGGTGAGCAGTGAGCATGTAATCTGTGTGCTGAGTGAGGAGTGCGAGGGGCTAACTCAGTGGGTGTGGTAGCTGTCACTGTCTTGGGATCTTCCCTGGAGCAAGGGATAAAAAGATGGGATAAATGCTTTTCAAATATGTCTAAAAATATTTGGCCAACAGGTGTTGATTAAAGAAGAGGAAAAAAAAGGACTTAACAATTATTCAGCTCTTATGAGGTGCCAGGAGCTTTTCACACTTGATGCTGTTAGTCCTTTCCCCAGTATAGATAGAGAAACTGAGGCTCAGAGAGGCAAGGCGGCTCTGCCAGGGCCACACACTTAGCAAGGTTCAGAATTGGGATTCAAAACGAGGTCTCTCTGGCTGTAAGTATCTAATGGAATAGTTAATGTATATGATGGCTTATCTAGGACTTATTGTAGGCTGTTGAATGAATATCTCCTGTCTCTTCCTCTCTCCAGAACCTTACTGCCTTTTCTTATTCTAAGTTAGCCTTATCCAGGGGTGGTGTCCATGGTTCAGCAATGGCAGAGCACCTTCATCTGCAGGCTTGGTGGGCGCCGTCTCTACCATCTCCATAACATCCCACTCAGTGCCAGTTATCCAGTAGCTGCTTTTGAATATTTGTGGAATAGATGATGAAAGCTGGCAAGATCCTTCCTGCAAACTTGTGCTGCTTGTTTCCTGCTTAAACCTCTCAGATTCTGAGCCGTGAAGTCCTCAGGGCCTGTTTTACAAAGGAAGAATGGTATTCTTTCTTGCCTTTGCCAAGAGGAAGATACAGGAAGACTGGAGAGTCTTTTGGTTCTTAGAATTGCTGCCATCTTCATGTGTCATTGTGCTTTACTTCCTCTTTCCACTTTGTAGCATCTTTGGAAACAGGACTCAAGTAATGCCTCCTGGTGGTCTGACCCAGAGAAAGGGGGAGGGCTGGTGTGGGACCAGAAATTATTAGAGCCAGCTGAGTTAGGGCCACCACACCCCTTTTCAGAAGGAGAAGGGACCACAAGAGGGGAATTTCTCCCCCAGCCAAGGTCTACAGATATGGAAAGGGTGGGGAGGACCTCACATTAGCCCCTTGCCTTCACAGTCATCACTTTGGGTTATGCACTTGGCAGATACAGCCCTCGTATTGTGCTAGATGCTCCCCAAGTGGCTAAGAAAGTTACGGGAAGGAATGAGGCACATAGTGACACAGTATTCATAGGCAGTAGGAAGTAGTCTGTTGCATGTGTGCATGCATGTGCCCACATGCCACTTGCATGCACATGCACACACACATGTACATGCACATGTGCACATGCTCATACATATGTCTCTCAGCGCTCAAAGCAGAGTAAAAGCCCTGTACTCTAAGGACTTGTTAGTTAAGGAGCCATATTAGGGAGACAGTTTCCTTCCGAAGTTGGGGGTACATTTCATATACTGTGACTGGCTCCAACCCCTTCAGGACACCTTGCCTCCTTCCTTGGCACGGGTACAGACACTCAGCTCTTTCCAGAAACTCAATACCTCCCTGAAAGACAGAAGATTTGCCACTTCTAAAGATCTGCATAAATGTGTTAAATTTGAAAACAGTTTCTAAACAATATTTTGAACAAGAGCAGCTTTGTTAGAATCATTCACACAGTGCTTTGCACGCGATATGTCTTTGATGGAGACCTACTGGGAAGCAGTGTGGCGAGTGGGAAGAATGTGGGCTTCGCAACTATGTAGACCTACGAAAGTCCAGCCTTGCTGTCTGATAGCTATGCCATCTTGAGTTCAGGGCCCTTGTCTAGCATCCACTCAATACTTAGTGGTATAATAATGATGAGTCCTTGGAGAATAAATATACAACCTCTCGAGAAGATTGTTGAAAATTACAGCACTGTATTTGCTGGCCTGTGTTTTGCTTTTGTTAGAATTACCAATAACGTGGCCGGGCGCGGTGGCTCACGCCTGTAATCCCAGCACTTTGGGAGGCCGAGGCGGGCGGATCACGAGGTCAGGAGATCGAGACCATCCCGGCTAAAACGGTGAAACCCCGTCTCTACTAAAACTACAAAAAATAGCCGGGCGTAGTGGCGGGCGCCTGTAGTCCTAGCTACTTGGGAGGCTGAGGCAGGAGAATGGCGTGAACCCGGGAGGCGGAGCTTGCAGTGAGCCGAGATCCCGCCACTGCACTCCAGACTGGGCGACAGAGCGAGACTCCGTCTCAAAAAAAAAAAAAAAAAAAAAAAAAGAATTACCAATAACGTTACTTAATTATTCATCATATGTGTGAAATAATCAATGTATCTTGAAAGTGTAAATTCAGTTCAACATATATTTATGCATCATGTGCCTACCAAGTTTCATGCCAGGTGTGGGGACACAGAAGTGACTCAGGGCTGCTGCTTTCATGAAGCCCCTGTATCTGCAGGGGGATCAATAGCTATAGACCAATTAATATAAGAATAATTAGAATAATTATAGGATATATTTAAGTGCTATGGGAGTACAGATAGATGATACAGTTCTGTTTGGATGGAGAGAGAAGACAAAATAAGTCATTCAGGGATTTTGATTATAGCCATAGAAACCAGCTCTGGCTATCATAAGCAGAGGGAATTAATTGGAAAGTTGTTGGGGGTCGCCTGTGGGTGTGGAGCTGGAGGGCCAGGCCTGGGGAATGGGCCAGAAGCAGGGGAGCTCCTAGGTCATGAAGCCCTACCAGTTGCATCATTGTACTCTTGCTACTACTGCTGTTGCTGTGGTCTCCGTCAAGCCAATCTCTATCAGTCCCTCCTTTCTGTGTCATTTATTCAGGGTTCAGTTTTGTGTGATGATGACTATCCGAGTCCAAGTGGGGTGCCTATCCCTGGCTACTTCACGACAGAAGGAGCATACATATCTGATCTCCACTTAGATATAGGACAGCTTCCTACTTGGAAATTGGACAGAACCTCCCCAAGACTCCAACACGGGATTTAATAGGGTGCTGAAGGAAGCGTTGGCTGGGTCCTTGACAGTCGGCAACAGCAGAGCACTTGGGCAGGCAGGGTATAGAAAAAGAGACATTTCTGGCAAAGAACAGTAGGAGCCAGAAGCACAGGCCCTGGAAGCCCTGGTGTGTCTGGAGGAATAAGAGCTCCGCTGTGCCATGGGCAGTATTTGTAGCTGGTTGAGACTAGGTCAAGGAAAAGTGTTTTTCCAGTTTCTAATATCCATTCTCCAGAGAAGTAGCCCGGGTGGGAGATCCTAGATGGATCCACAAACAGTTGGAACAGATTTCTGACCAGCCTCTGGGGCCCCTGAGGGGCCCCTGAGAGCTTAACTGATGGAGATGGCCCAGTGAGCCCCACCCTAGCTGCAGGCCAACAGTTCCCTATTCTCCAGTGTTGTCCTCTTAGCCCAGGTGTAGGTGCCAACAGCAGAGGCAGGACAGTGCTCCCCACACAGCCCCGATCCCTCCAGTAGGTGTGGGGCACCTGCCTGCCTGCCTGACGTCGTTACGGGCTGAGGGTGTGACAGTGGCCAGGCAGCTTGTTCTCTGGTCAGGTAGGGGCCACTTCTCTGACTCCCTTAACCTCACGGCTCTCCAGAGAACCTTTCTGACTCATGGGCTTACAATCCCTGAGGTCTGAAGTGCCATCAGAGTGGGGCTGGGAGGAGTGGGGATTCTCTGGGCATGGAAGACCACACACACCTGGCCGGCTCTGCTCAGTTCATGAATTTCCCACCTGGAGACTGGGCAGTTCATCACTCCTGTTCTCTGCAAGGAACTATAGGTCTGTTGCTGGTCATGTTTGAGCAACTTCTCTGAACTCTTACTGTTTGGAGCTGCAGTGAGAAGCAGCAGGCAGCAGAGCTGAATCACTGGCTCCTTTTCTCCCTCCCCATCTCTCTCTTTTCAGCCTGCAGATTTAGAAGCATGAGTAAGCTCTGCTTTACCCGACTCTTGCTTATTTCAAGCAGCATGCTGTTACCCTGTACCTAAAGACAGCCCTTGCCTCCCTCACAGGCAGGGATTCTGTTCTCCAGCATTACTTTTTAAAAGGTGTTCAGCTAGAAAATCGCATATTATTTCTTCTGTAAAGGTTTCTCCTTGCCACCTTTCCGTAGCTACAGCTGTCACAACCACAGTTAATATTTTGTGTGCCTGTACATGTGAGTGCACGGTGTGGGAAGGGAGATAATCAGTCTGTCCTCTTGGGCAGCAGCCTTCCAGTTCAGCTTTTATGAGCTGCATTTAAAAAATAAATAAATAGATCATATCGCTATCTTGCTCAGAGCTCTCCAGTGGCCCCTGTGCTCATAGAAGGCAGTGCACCACCTCACCAGGGCTGCAAGGCCCTGCGCCGTTAGGCCCCAGCCTGTTTTTCATGCTGCGTCTCACCACTCCCCTACTCCATTCCCAGGTATTTGTTATGGTGTTTGTTATGTCTCTCGAATATGTCATGTTTGTTCCCACTCAGAGGCCTTTGCATTGGTTTTTTCAGCAGGGAATGAACTTCCCTAAGATCTTCGTGGCCTTCTATCCTGTCATGCAGCTCTCAGCTCAAATGTCACCTCCTGAGAGGGACCTTCTCTGGTCATTCCCTATGAATGAGTCCTCACCCCTGCCTCTCTGGACCGCCACTCTGTTCTTCACAGCCCTTCATCACCATCTGACACCACATTCACTCATTAATTTATGTTCATCTGTCCATCCCTTCCTGTGTGTCTCATTCATCGCAGGATCCCAGGCTTTTAGAACTGTCCTGGTTCCACAAGCATTCAGTACAATTTTGGTACTGAAGACAGTGCACACAAGAGTGAAACAGCAGTGGGGACACTGACCGGGAGAGGCAAAGCGCTGTAGCAGAGATTGTGCGGAGATGCTGAGAGGAGAGAGGGCGTCTGCAGGGATACGGAGGTGCTGGCTGAGCTAGGTATGCCTGTGTAGACCAGGGCTCAGCTGTTCTGCCTGAGCCAGGCTGGCTCTGCTCTGGAGGAACAAAATTCATGGCACATGCCCAGGAAGACAGTGCGCTGAGGATGTCGACAGGTAAGGACTGTTGGACGCCAGGAGCAAGTGCGGGGGACTGGCCTGCTCTTCCTGAGGAGAAATGGACATCGCTTTGGGCTTTCACCGGTCCAAGCTCCCTTGTGGTTAATTGTTACTCTGTGCAAATCTGGGGTTCCTCCCAGCCCTCCACTAAAGGGAATTGTGCGCCAGAGTGGCTCTACATTTCATTTCCGACCTTATCATCCTTGTGCCCTAGAACTTTATTAGACATTGCAGAGATGATATCATGATGTCTTAAGATAGCCTTGCTTGGAAAATTATACCAGGTAAGATCTTATTACACCAGGAGATGAAGCCCATTACTTTAAAACTTTACCTCTGCCATGTATTGATTATGTGGCTCTGGGTGACTTCATTACTCTGTGCCTCATTTTTCTTGCCTTTAAAGTGGGTTTAGCCTGGGTGTGGTGGCTCACCCTGTAATTCTAGCACTTTAAGATGACAAGGCAGGAGGATTGCTTGAGCCCAGGAGTTCAACACCAGCCTAGGCAACATAGTGAGACCCCATCTCACCAAAATTTAAAAAATTAGCCAAGCATGGTGTGTTTGTAGTCCAAGCTACTCGGGAGGCTGAAGTGGGAGGATGGCTTGTGCCCAGGAGGTCGAGGCTGGGGTGAGCCCAGGTCATGCTATTGTACTTTAGCCTGGGTGGCAGAGCAAGACCCTGTCTCATTCATTCATACATACATATATACATAGTGTTTAATAATATCTATTTCACTAGGTTATTGTATAAGTTAATGGAACACTTAAGGAATTATTTACTGACTGGTAATAAATGGTCACTGTTGCTTTTATAGATTCATGCCTGGTTGTTTCATGAGGTGTCACTGATTCTTGTTTTGTCATGACCAAGATTATGCTTTTGCCCTGACCAATATCTAGGTGTTGCTAAGAGGAAGGAAGGCTGCAGAGAATGTGGTACTTATTGGATAAAATGTGTCAGACATACACAGAGTTAACCATCCCTGAGCATTTCCACCGTCTCCTTCCCTGCTGTCTTGTTCTTTTCTTACTTGGGCAACACGGAGGAGAGCAGGCTCTGGTTGCCTGAGAGGCCATCTGTCCTGTGATCCCTCACACCTGAAGCCTCCGTTCCCTCATTCTCCCAGCCATGGGCACCATGTCCACAGTGCAGATGGGGCGGGGGAGCAGTGTCAGCACTGCAGCCTGCAGGTGGAGATTTGGAAGAAAGCAGCATGAGCAGACACAAGCCTTCAGAATGAGACTAATTTTCATGAGGCTTTCCCTGGTAATAAAAGGAAATGGGGGCTGCAGAGAGCCTACAGTATTTCAGCAGATGGTCTTGTAATAGAATGTTTTTTCAAAGTTTCCTTGTGAGGCATCAGTGACTCTTGGAAAATTTGTATCGTGTAATGAGGAACAAAGACATGGCTTTGAGCATCCCTCTTCTTGGCATGTTTCTGAGTTGCCTCTCCCTCCTGGCACAGGTAGGTGGTTTTGGAAAGTGAGGAAGATGACCCTAGAGAAGCAGCCTCTCCTGATTTTTCTGTGCCTTTGAAGGAGCTGGGACTTGGTCCTAGGGTCAACAATGCCTGTTCAGCTCTGCCCCTCCTCACTCTTCCAGGCTTGGGCCTCAGCAGGACCCATTTGATGTCAATGAAGGAAGGTCTGCATTTCTGCAGTCCCTTAATCAGCTGCATCTCCCTCTGAATTGTGCCAACCTCATGGAATGGTGTGCACCTGTCCAAGCTGGCTTATGGAAGGAAGGGAGGGACGGATTCTTGGTGATAGTTTCTTCTTCAGACTCATAGTAGACAAGCCCAAGCATTGAGAACACCTACAGCAGGGCAGAATCACAGCAAACCCTTATGGCAGCCCTATGAGGAAACTGAGGCACAGAGAAATTGCAAATAATTGTTAGAGCCAGAATTTGAACCCAAGCCTCTTAAACATCACAGTGTACTGTACTGTCTTAATGATTAGCATCTCCTTTTCCCAAAATCAACTTCTCAGCATCATTCATTTTATTCCTTCTTTTTTCCTTTTTTTTTTTTTTTTGAGACAGTCTTGCTCTGTTGCTCAGCCCGGCATGCAGTGACATTATCATAGCTCACTGTGGCTTCCATCTCCTGGGCTCAAGTGATCCTCCTGCCTCAGCCACCTGAGTAGCTGGGGCTACAGGCATGCACCACTATGCCCAGCTAATTTTTATTTTTAATAGTAGAGATAAGGTCTCACTACATTGCCTGAGCTGGTCTTGAACTCCTGAGCTCAAGTGATCCTCCTGCCTTGGCCTCTGAAAATGCTGGGATTATAGACGTGAGCCACTGTGCCTGGCCATTTTATTCTTGTAGGGAATATTTACTCTGTGTCACTTGGAATAAAGCGGTAACACAATTTAGCCCCTAGCCTCCAGCCTCCAGGAATTTATGGTTTAGGAAGAGTACAAGCAGGTAAACAGAAAAATGAACATAAAATTTGTTCTTTGGACATCTCTCTGTATAAACACAAGAACATACCTATGCCAAGTTGGCATCTGGCAATAATTTGGAAATTTATATTACCATATATCCACATGCTAAATACTGTATTAGCTGTGGGAATGTATGTAGCTGTGTGTAGATGACATACAAGTATAAGGTGCACTAATTTCATTTATCATTACAACATAGGTAGACATAGTTCTCATTTTCGGCCGGAACCTGGAGGGATCATTGTGCTTTCCTCCCTCCCTTCCCTGCTGCATCTAATCAGTCAGTCTTCTCCTGTTGAACCCCCTCACCCCACAACCCAGCCTCAGTTCAGTCCTTGTCATACTCCCCAACCTGGATTACTGCATCGGCTCTCTCACTGGTCTCCCCACCTCAGGCTTTTTTTTCTTAATATTTTGATAACTGTATTTCAATATAATTCGTTTCTTTGGTAATCTTATGTATTTTTAACATCTTTATTGAGATATTCATAAACAATGAAATCACCCATTTAAAGCACACATTTCCATGGTTTTTAGTGTGTTCATTGAGTTGTGCAGCCATTGCCACAATTTAAGTTTAGGACATTTTCATCACCTGGATGGAAACCCTGCTCCCATTAATAGTCACTTCCCATCACCCCTGCCTCGGCCCCCAGGTCTTGGCAAGCACTCATCTGTTTTCTATCTCTATGTGTTTGCCTAATCTGGACATTTCATATTAATGGAATCATATACTATGTGGCCTTTCGTGTCTGGCTTCTTTCACTTAGCGTAACGTTTTCAAGGTTAATTTATGTTGTAGCATGTATTAGTACTTCATTGTTTTTTCTGGCTGAATGATATTCCATTATATAGATATACCACGTTTTAAAATTCATCTGTTAGTTGATGGACATTTAGGGGCTAAGTGTAGGGGAAGGTGGGAGCTGCCTGCTGTTGGACACAGAGTTTCTTTTAGGGGTGACGAAAATGTTCTAAAATGAGATAGTTGTGATGATTGCACAACTTTGTGAATGTACTAAAACCCACTGCATTATAGATTTTAAAAGGGTTTTATGATATGTGAATTATATTTCAATAAAAAATCTAAAAACACATTTTAGAAAGAACTCTGACAGTTATTAATACTATAGATGAACATATTAAGAGGGAGGGAAGACAGGTGTAATGAAGGAAGATAAAACACTGATACTGACATATAACATCCCAGGGCACCTCAGGATCAGTTCCAAGTGTGGAGATTAGCCCATATCATCTCAAAGTTATATTTGTCCTTGAGATATGCCTTTTTATATTAAAAATCTGTTATCTAATATGGTCATGGATAGGTATATTTTCTTTTCTGATTAAATATTTAATAACACTTTTATTATGAAAATAATTCTTGGCTGCCATTTATTTTGAAGAAAATTATAGTGTACCAGATATTTGTTTAGTACTTTATGTGTATGATCTTATTTAACTTCACTGCAACCTCTTGAAATAGAGATTATATTAATTTCTCCGTTGTATGGGTTAGGAAACTCTGGCATAGAGAAGTTCTTTTTATTTATTTATTTATTTATTTTTAATTTATTTTTTTTATTATACTTTAAGTTTTAGGGTACATGTGCACATTGTGCAGGTTAGTTACATATGTATACATGTGCCATGTTGGTGCGCTGCACCCACTAATTTGTCATCTAGCATTAGGTATATCTCCCGATGCTATCCCTCCCCACTCCCCTCACCCCACAACAGTCCCCAGAGTGTGATATTCCCCTTCCTGTGTCCATGTGATCTCATTGTTCAATTCCCACCTATGAGTGAGAATATGCGGTGTTTGGTTTTTTGTTCTTGCAATAGCTCACTGAGAATGATGATTTCCAATTTCATCCATGTCCCTACAAAGGACATGAACTCATCATTTTTTATGGCTGCATAGTATTCCATGGTGTATATGTGCCACATTTTCTTAATCCAGTCTCATTGTTGGACATTTGGGTTGGTTCCAAGTCTTTGCTATTGTGAATAATGCCGCAAGAGAAGTTCTGACTTGACCACGGTCACTCAAGTAGGAAGTGACAGATCTAGTATTCAAATCTAACTTTTTCTGAGTCTAAAGCCTGTTCCCTGAAGCCCTTACTCTTTATTATTTTTTAAAATTAGAGTGCATTATCATTAATCTAAAGTAAGGGTTGTGAGGAACATAATTTAGACCCATCATGGATCTTGCAGAGTTTTGACGATCTCACTATAACCATCATTTATCTTTCCATAAGCATGATCTAGTGCCTTAGTACTCAAAGTAACATTACCTAGGCTGGGCGTGGTTGCTCACGCCTGTAATCCCAGCACTTTGGGAGGCCAAGGTGGGAGGATCGCTTAACCCCAGGAGTTTGAGATCAGCCCAGCAACATAGGGAGACCCCGTCTTTCCAAAAAAAAAAATTTTTTTTTTTAATTAACTGGGCATTGTGGCATGTGCCTGTGATCCCAGCTACTAGGAGGCTGAGGTGGGAAGATTGCTTGAGCCCAGGAAGTTGAGGCTGCAGTGAGCTGTGATCATGCCACTAAACTTCAGCCTGGGTGAAGGAGCAAGACCTTGCCTCAAAACAAAACAAAACAAAACCATTGCTTGGGAATGTTGGAAATGTTTAATCTAGTCCAGGCGTAATGGCTCACACTTGTAATCCCAACACTTTGGGAGGCCTAGGTGGGAGGATGGCTTGAGCCCAGGAGTTCAAGACCAGCCCGGGCAACAAAATGCGATCCCGTCTCTACCAAAAATAAAAGTAAAAAATTAGCCAGGCATGGCAGCATGCGCCTGTAGTACCAGCTACTCCGGAGGCTGAGGTGGAAGTATCACTTAAGCCCAGGAGATCAAGGTCACGTCACGGGACATTTCTTGGAGTACAGAGTGAGACTCTGTCTTTTTTTTAAAAAAAAGAACTGTTTAACCCTGGGCCCATCCCAGATCCAAAGAATCTTGGGCCCAATTTTGATGAGTCTAGACTAATCTAGAAGCTAGGATCTGCCTTTTATCAAAATACTGGGTGATTCAAATGCACTTTAAACATTTGAGAAGCATGGTTATAATACATGTTCTTAGATTAGTTCAGTTTGGTGATCCACCAATGATTTTTACATTGTCAAAGCACACAGCTCAGGATGGAATGACGTGGTCCCCAAATGTGAGGTTGCTGACCTGGGAGTCAGGAATCTGTCTTCGTAGTCCTGCTCTTGTGTGATAATGCAGCAAGTCACTTAATCTGAATCCTATTTTATTCATATATGAAATGAATAATTTGCTTAAATCTCAATTTTGCATTTAAGTACATTTACCTCACAGATACCACATCAGCTGTATCACACATTTTTTTAAACGTAGAACTTTTATTCTTGTAATTTTGAAATTTCTATCATTATTTTATCTTAGCCCACAAATTATTTAAGAAGACATTTCACCACAACTCATTTTAACTGTCCTTTTCATTGCACTGAAATTCTTTTTTTTTTTTTTTTTTTGGTGGGTGTGACCTGCAAGAGTGGGATGTTTTTAAAATGTTCCATTCCTCTGTAAAAGAATGTAGATATTTAATTTTGGGAGTAGTGATTCTAGAAATATGTCTGTTAAACCAACCTTGTTAATTTTATTAATCAGATACTCTAAATCTTTTTAACCTTTTTCTCTGCTGTCTTAGGGAAAGAGCCTTCAATATTACACCAATAAGCATGATATTATATATAGATTTTTTTGGTACGTGTCCTTCATCAAGTTGAGGAAACTTTCTTCTATTACTAGTTTTCTAAAAGTTTTCTCTATGAATGGATGTCATATTTTGTCAAATGCTTTTCTTACATCTATTGAAAATGATCGTATGATTGTCTTCTTATTCTTTTTTAATGTGGTGAAGTACGTTGTTATGCTAGCATCCTGCTGGCGTAAACCCTAGTTGGTTATGGGTATTATCTTTTTTGCACATTGATGGAACTGATTTGCCAGTTTTTCTATTAAGGATTTTTACATCTCTTTTCTCGAGGAATACTGGTTTGGTATCATTATAGCAGCCTCATAAAATGAGTTGGGAACTGTTTCCTCCTCTATTTGCTGAAAGAATTTTCTTAGAAGTTGTATGATTTCTTCCTTAAATATTTGATAAAATTGGTGAAGCCATCTGGACTGGGAAATTCTTTGGGGTAAGGCTTATGTTTTGTTTTGTAAATCAAGGAAAATTATGTATTTTTAAATGATCAGATATATAATTTTTATATTTCCATTACTGCATTCATCACATTGTGTATATTGTTGAGTTGGTTAGCTTAGCTTATTGGATTATGGTTTATACTTCTGAACACATCTGGGAATTTTTCATCTATTCTTGAAATATTCAAATATTTTTCCACTACCACTGTCTCCTCCCAAGAGTTCAATTACATGTATGCTAGACCACTTGATATTGAAATTGTCCCACAGGTTCCTGAGGTAGTATTCACTTTTTCAGCCTTTCATTTTAGCTCTTGAAATTCCATTTGGTACTTTTCAGTAGCTTCCATTTATATCATTATGTTTACATTTTCTTTAAATCCTTCAACATGCTTACAGTAGCAGTTTTAAAGTCCTCATTTGCTAATTGCATTATCTGTCATTTCCAAGTCTATTTTTAGGAACTACTTTTTCTTTTGGTTAGGACTTGTGGGTTATTTAGTAATATGCTTATTTTCTAAACATTTGAGGATTTTCTGGGTGTCTTACAATTTCTAATTTAATCCTTTTGTGATCATAGAACATACTTTGTGTGATTTCATCCTTTTAAACTTATTAGCTCAAGATGTGGTCCATTTCAGTGACTGTTCCATGTGTATTTGAGAAGCATGTGTTTCCTGCTGTTGTTAGATGTAGTGTTGTATACATGTCATTTGGGTCACGTTGGATGATAATACTGTTCAAATCTTCCATATCCTTGTTGATTTTTTTGTCTACTTGTTCTATCAATATTTTGAGAGCAGATCAAAGTATTTGACTGTGATTGTGGATTTATTTATATTCCTCTTTAGTCTCAGATTTGCTTTATGTATTTAGGAGTTTTATTATAAGTACCTATACATTTAGAATTGTTATTCTTGAATAATTGTCCCGTTTATGATTATGAACTGCCCCTCTTTATATCTGGTCTTATTTTTTGCCTTGAATTCTTCTTTAACTAATATTAATATAGCTACACCAGCTTTTTTATACTTAGCATTTGCACAATATATCTTTTTCCTTTTTTCCCCAAATTTTTGTGTCTTCGTATTTAAAAGCTATTTCTTATTAATAACACGAAGTTAGGACTTTGCCTTCTCATTGGGGAGTGTGATAGGAAGAATAATGGCCCCCCAAAGATTTCTACCTTCTAGTACCTGGAGCCTGTGCATGTTTTCTCTCACATGGCAAAAGGAACTTTGCAGGTGTGATTAAGTTAAGGATATGTGATGGGGAGGTTATCCTTTGTTATCCAGGTGGGTTCAGTGTAATGTCAAGGTCCTTATGAGGGAAGGGGGAAGGCAGGAGAGACAGAAAAGAAGATATGATAAGGGTAGCAGAAGTCAGTGTGATGTGAGGCCATGAGCCAAGGAATGGGGGTAGCCGCTAGCTAGAACTGGAAAAGGTAAGGAAATAGATTCTTCTCTAGAACCCCCCTGATAGGTACAGCCCTGCCACTAGCATGATTGTAGTCAAATAAGACCTGTTTGAGACTTCTGACCTTTAGAATGGTAAGAGAAGACGTTTATATTGCTTTAAGCCACTAAGTTTCTGGTAATTTCATACCATAGCAACAGGAACTAATACAAGGGCTAAGTTGGTTTATATTTGATGTAATTTCTGATGTGACTATTTAAGTCAGCCATCTTGATGTTTGATTTCTGTTTGTTTCATCTGTTCTTTGTTCCTCTTTGCTTCTTTCTTGCAGGTTTGTTTTTGGTGGGGGAGAGTGGGGATGAGTCAATATATTTAGAATTCTGTGATCTCCTCTATTGACTATTTGTGCTTTTTAGATTACTTTTTTAGGGTTGCTCTAGAAATTATTTTTCAAAAACATAATCTACGTTCAAAAATATCCCATTACTTAAGGAATTATTTAAGAATTTTATAAAAGCTTCCTGCTTGGAATTTTTCTGAGCTTCTCAGATTTGTTGTCTCAGACTTAGTTGTCGTCAATCAACTCCAGAGAATTCTTGGCCATATATTTTATTTCTTTTGCCCCACTTTTCTCTTCTACTGGGACTCCAATTAAATATATGCTTTGGATATTTAATATTGTTCTGTTAATCTTGGGGGCCCTGTTCCATTTCATTTTTCATTCTTTTGTCTGTTTGTGTTTTAATTTAGATAATTTATAATGCCTTGTTTTCAAGTTCACTGATTTTTGCTCCGTCCAATATGCTAATAAACCCATGAATTCATGCCATATCATGCTAGAAATGGATTTCTAGCATTTCCATTTGGTTCTGTTTTATAGTTTCCGGTGGTGTCAGTGAAACTGGTAGAATAAGGGTCTCTAAAAATCCTCTTTCATAAAAGCAATGAAAAAACTGGCAAAACTAGTCAGAATCTATTTTTTCAGAACTCTGAAAATTGATCAAAGGCTTGCAGCAATCCAGGAGCATTTGTTCAAGAAAAAATGAATGACTCTGAGTAAGAAAAGTGAGCTTTGTGCCATTTTAATTTATCATGTCCCATCCCTGTTTCCCCTGCAGCACCACAGTAGCCCTGAAAACCTGTAGTCCACAGGCACAGTGCAGACTTGCAGCCTGCCAGCCACCAGAAGGGGCAGAAAAAGGTTGGACCTCCTTCAAAGCCCCATTCCCAGAAAAATGTCATTATTTTTCCTGTCTGGTGATTCCCTGAAAGAGACCCCACTTATAAGGCCGTCTTTATACAACCTGACTCAGAGGTTGCCCAGTGCTAACAGCTTTTTCCCAGAGGACATTTGTCAAAAACAAGCAGAGGCAATTGTTGAATATTATAGCTGCCTGGGGAGGTAGATAACAATTTGGGCAAACAATAGGGTAACCTGAAAGCTTAAAAAGAAAAGCTAGGGAATGAGGTGGCCATAGGAGGCTTTGAAAAGCTCATATACTATTCCTGGGATTTTAAAAGACCAAGACTATGTATGTGGCTTTGCACAATATTTCAAAGGGATCCACACTTAAGTACTTCACAATCAAGCTGTCAAAAGGCAAAGTCAAAGAAAAGATTTTGGAAATAGCAAGAGAGAAGTGACTCATCATCTACAAGGAATCCTGAATAATATAAAAGACTGATTTCTCATCATGAACAATGGAGGCAAGATAGTTTTATCACTCTGTGGAAATTCTCTATATCTTCACACGTGATATTTACCTTTTTCTACTAGGTTCTTTAACATATTAATCATAGTTATTTAAAGTCCCTTTGTATTAATTCCAGTCTGGGCCATTAATGTGTCTGGTTCCAGTATTTTATCTCTATATGGAGGGTCATTATTTTCGCACGTACACGTGTTTGTGTGTGTGTATGTGTATGTGTATTTTTAAAGTTTTGATTTAATGCTCAACATTTTGTGTAAACAAAATAAAACAGTAGACAGTCCACTATATATTTATGTCCAGTAAAGGATTTCTTTTCTTCTGTAAGACCATTAGTATGGGGGCTTGGGTTTCTTCTAAGTAGCAAGTCGTTAGGGTTTTTTTCCTTTCTTTTATCCAAATTGATAATCATTTTTCTTTTAAGGGTGAGATTAATCAGTTCATATATTAGTTAACAGTTACTAAGTAACAAATTACAAAATGTAGTGACTTAAACATTTATTATCTTGTGGTTTCTATGGGTCAGGGATCTGGGCCTGGCTTAGCTGGGTGCCTCTGCCCTAAGGTCTTGTAGTCAAGGTATCTGCCGGGGCTGCTATCTCATTTGAAGGCTCCACTGGGGGAGGGTCTGCTTCCAAGCTCACTCATGTGACTGTGAGCAGGAGTCAGTTCCTTGAGGACTGATGGACTGAGGGCCTCCGGTCCTCACTGGCTGTTGTTCAGTGGCCACCCTCAGTGTCTTACTATGTAATTTTGGCCTTCTGAGACCTGTCTTCACAGTGGTAGTGGACGCAGCTCATAAAATGGAAGCTTGCCTCATCAGTGTGAACAAGGAAAAGAGTATGAGCAAGACAGAAATCACTGTCTTTTAAAACTAAATCTTGGAAGTGACATCCCATCACTTTGCCATATTCTATTTATTAATAATGAGTCTCAAGTTCCAGCCTACACTCAAGAGGAGATCCCACAGGGGCATGAGGCCTAGGAGGTGGAGATCATCAGGGGCCATCTTGGAGGCCCCCTTCGTGTGCTTTTTGTGGTAACCAATTTACTTACACTTATTTCTATAATTTTATTTGGTCTTTTCTGTTTACCATTCTCTCCCTCTCTCTCCTCTCCCCCTTTCCCACTTTCCCTAAGTCACCCCTACCAGTGTCTTTCTCCTTCCCCTCGCCCACCTCCCATCCTCTCACCTGCCTTCTACTCTGGCTTCCGTCCTCCTTCCCCTCTCTTACCCCCTTGTCCTCTCCAGTCTTTCCTTCCTCATCTTCTGAAACAGCTGTTAGACACATTCTGGACCATCAGTCTGTCTTCCACAGTTCTTAGCTTTTATCAGACTTTTTATCTTTGGGTTTGTTATTTTTGAGACAGAGTCTTACTCTCTTCTCCAGGCTGGAGTGCAGTGATGCGATCATAACTCACCGCAGCCTCAAACTCCAGGGACCAAAAAATCCTCCTGCCTCAGCCTCTCAAGTAGCGGGCATGTGCCACCATAGCCAACTAACTTTTTATTTTTATTTTTTGTGAAGATGGAGTCTTGCTTTGTTGCCCAGTCTGGTCTCCAGCTCCTGGACTCAAGCAATCCTCCCGACTTTTTATCTTTGTCTTCTATTACTACATTCTTGCTCAAATCTCTGTACTTCATTTCAGTTTGATAATTTTTCCCTTGTTGTTCTCAGCTTAGAGTTTGTCTTATCCATTTCATTTTTTATTTTGTAGATTTTAAATGTATAATCTTTACCTATTTGGTGGTTAGCCTGTTTCAGGTTCATAATTTCTTTTTTGTAAATCAGAAGTTACTTCGTTTTACCTTTCTGAGCAACTTAAACATGCATATTTAAAATTATTCATCAATTGGAGATTGTAATGCTAGCTGGATATCTGATGATGTTAAAGAATTCATGTTAAATTATTTTTGGTATGCAATAGTACTATGGTTGTGTTTTAGAAATTAAAAGTCCTTATTTTTTAGAGCAACATATTGAAGCTATGTAGATGAAGAGATCTGTAAGAAACCTGGGGGTGGAGAAGGTAGAGGGTAGAGATGAAAGAAGATCTCTTTAGTTTCTAATTGTTGAAGCTTGCTGATGGCTATCTGGGGTTTTATTGTATTCTTTCTTGTGTTTAAATTTTTGCATAATAAAAAGTTTTTTGAAATCCTTTGTCATATTGTCCTATAAAATTAATGTCATCTGGAGTGAATTCATATTTCAGTTACTGCTTTTATTGGTAGCCTTTTTAGAAATTCTATTTCTTCCCATATTTGAGATTCAGTTTATAGGTTCATTTGGAGTGGAAAGTTCACTATTTCTATTGTCACCTACACCTGCACCTCAGTGCAGGACGAGGTCTGATTTTGGCCTTCTGAGGCCTGTCTCCACAGTGGTCCTGGTGATATTGCAGAGCCAGGAACTGAGTGACTAGGTTCATTTGTGGTCCAGGGGCGGGATCTGTAGCTTCCAGGCTTTCTAGGTTTAAGTAAACTGAAAACCCTGGCCCTCAGTGGAGGTCTTCAGAAGTTTTTTATATCAGCTTCTTATTTTAGGGAGATCCCTAGGCTGCAGGTCGCCAGCCTGGCTTCAGGCCCCCGCTTGTGCGGAATGTGGTTTATTCTGACCCTGCACGATAAAGAGGGTTCCTGACTGCCTCTGCCTGCTCCAGACTTGGAGCCAGCAGGCCTGTGGCTTCAGCCTCACCCACTGCTTTGCATTTCTGTTTGGTATTGGACACTTTAATCTTGTTTTTGAACTTGTCCGTGTCTTTTTGTCATCTGTTCTATATTTTATCTGCCAGTGCTATGTGTTTGGAGTAGGGTAGAGGCATCAAAGTGTGAACTCACTGTGTTGTGTTGACTGGAGGAGGTCCTTGACCAAATCATGCAGATTCCCTCAATTCTCTATTCAAAGACTGTCATCTGCTAAGTACATGTTCATAATGATGACATTTTACCTTTATATTAGAGTCAACATTCTTAATTTCAAAATTTTTCCCTGAAGACTTTCTTAGAAATCTCCTTAGGGAAAATAGCAACCCGCTAACCCTACAAGTGAGTCTGTCTTATGGTCTTCCCAGCACATCTCTCTGTAATTATTTATCTGCACACACATTTGTGTCTCCCACTGGGATCTAAGCTTCATGATAGCAGAAATTCTCTCTCTGGCTTCCCTGTTGTGCCCTCAGCCCTTTTACAATTCTGTCTGTCACATAGAGGTGTCCTTCATGGTGTTCTGGTAAGTGACGCACTCAGGCACTGAAACCACAGTTGTGCTGCGTGCTGCGTGGCCTCTCATGAGTGCTAGGAAGCCAATTTGAGACTGCGGGGCAACTGTGTGGAGTGGCGGGTGCTGCCCAGTGTGCTCTTCCATACTTCACAGCCAGATCAGTGAGTGTCTGCTCTGGGCCAGGCACTGACACACAGGCATTTGTGTCATACTCAGTTTCTACAGCCATTTTTCGTGTCACCTCCTGTCCATTGTCAGTCATTGGGATTGCATTCTAAATCTCAGATGAGCAGAGCCAGTGGGCAGGGCTTTGTAGCAGATGAATTAGAGACGGTGAGCTCACCACCCTGGTGGCTCACTTGTGACGAAGCCAAGGTGTTGGGGATATGGTGCACATCACGGAGTTTTCATTCAAGTGGGAGGCACAGCCTCATCCCTCTCCACACAGTTCATTTCATTCTTAACTGCTCAATTGTGTTGCATTGGACATGAATAGAAAAGTAGGCCTTGATGTCCTCAACGTTTCTTCCTGTTTGTGTGAACAGTCTCTAGCCTAAGGAGGTGCTGATGGCTAGGCATCTTCACCCAACACTTTAGTCCTGCGTCCCATTCATCACATAGACGTCCTGCTGGCACAGGCCCTGAAAGCTTCAGGATGAGCATCCTGGTAGCCACGGCCCAGAGGAGGCATCGCAGTGTGTCAGTGGGATGGTGGTGGATGTGTGAACGCACCTCCTTGTCTCTGCTGCTTCACTTAACTGTAGAGAATGGCAGCTGAAGAGCCTTATGATGGTTTTGCCTTCAGATGTCATCTTCCTGCTTGGCTGGGACTGCTGGTCAAAAAATGACAGGTCCAGAGCCCTCAGAGACTTTCTTTTACTGGCTGTTTAATTGCATCAGACGAGCTTCTCCTCTCACTGCACCAGGGATTGGTAACAGTTAAGTGCTGGACCGCTGAGAGGCCCAGCGCAGATTAGCCGTGCTTGCATTCCTGGGACACAGCTTCAGCAGCACACTTTGAAAAGCCCTGTGAGAAATTCCTGGCATTTAGTCCCACTGTTTGTATTTAGCTTTTCTGAAGTGTTGGCATTCCAGAGGCATTCCAGAAGCCTTCCTGGCATTTTTAGATCCCCTGCAGCTGCCTGGGGATCCAGGTTACTACTTCTTCTCCCTTATACAGGTAAGGGGAAAACAGACAAGACAGCATCTTGCTCAGGCTTCCTAGAGGCCACTCAGTGATAGAGCCGATGTTAGAACTTAACTCTCAGGGGTTCAGCCAGCCACCCAAGCCCACTGGCCTGGTGTGGCCCTTTCAGCTGAGTCTTTCTCCTGGTGCTCTGCACTCAGGGGCACTAGTGAGTGGTCAGCTCTTATTACAGACCAACCTGCTGGTGGTTCTGCAAGGTTCCCTGTCAGTAGGAGTAGCATTGCCAGGGAGATGGGCTTTCAAAAACTTGGGTTCATGTCTTACCCCATGTTTTTGAGTGATTCAAACCCATGTGCTGATACCATAGAGTGGCTTAAAAGGAAAAAGCTCAGGACTTGGAAGTCATATGAACTTAGGTTCACAGTCTACCGCTGGCTAGCTTGTGCTCTTGTGGGTAGTGAGGATTCAGTGTCATCAGGAGCTTAGCGGAATACCTGAGCGCACACAGCCCTAGCATAGGGACAGACAACAAGCAGTTGGTGTTATTCCTCCATACAGTCACAAAAGGCAGTCCTGAGCTCCCAGGCCCCTGTGACTGTCTCCATCCTGACCCTTAGTGTGGAGTTGTTCCACATTTGACCCATGGAGGGTAGAGGCGGGCCCTGGGGCCTAGGCCTGGGAAGCCCCTGGAGACTCTGGGGACATGAGTATCCCAGTGACGGGACTTACATCCCTGCCTTGCCGTGTGCTGGTGACCCTTTATGGAGGTCTATTGAGACCTTGCCCACTTCTGTTGGGGTTTCCTTTAACCTTCTGTACAGCTATGCATCCCTTCCAGCTTTACACATCATGCCTGAGGAAGCTGGAGGTCAGGAACTTGTTCAAGGTCGCCTAGCTAATTAAGGGTGGGCTGGGTTCAACCTGACATCTGCCAGCCTCAGGTTGCTTGCCCTGGTGAGCTGAGCCCTCAGCCTAACTGGATCTGGAGGGAGGGCCCTTGGCCCTGTGCTCCAACAGGGACTCAACCATCCCCATCAGGCGGGTGAGGAAGCAGCGCCTCTCCAGCTGACTCTGTGCGTGTCTTCCTGCAGGCATGGATCCCTGCTCCTTCCAGCTCAGAGCATGAGGCTGTGGCATGGTGTGGTTCCAAGCATAAAGACACCAAGGCCAGCACATAGCTGTGTGGCTCACGGCAGCACACCCAGCGGCCGGACACACCTGCATTGACCAAGGTTCAGACCCCAGCTACTCTCTGAATAGCTGTGAGCTTTCAGACAACTACTTAGGCCCCCTGTTGTCATCTGGCTTCTCATCTGTAGCAGGGGATCATGATGATCCCACCTGCCCTTTAGAAGTGTGGTAAGGATCAAAGGAAATAACTGTGGGAGAACTGTGAACAGGACTCCCATAATCAATAAATGTTATTTATCTGTGAAGTGGCTATAGTAATTACCCACCTTGAAGGATTGTTGTGAAAATTAAGCACAATATATGTGAATGATCTGGCATATCATAAGGTTTTCAACTCATTATTGCTACTGTTCTCATTGTGAATGTGAGCAGAAATGTCCGTCGCCTTCTCCCTGCAGCACCATTCCAGCACCATCGCTGCTGGCTAACGTGGGCTTTGTTCTCTTCCAAGCAGGCCAGGGAGCTGGAGAGCAGAGAGGCAGAGCTAAGACGCCGTGACACCTTCTACAAGGAGCAGCTGGAGCGTATTGAGAGGAAGGTAAGACTCCTGCTTGGCTGCATTCCTCGGGGCCAGGTCCTAAAGGCATCTGACCAGAACACATCACTGTCATGGGGGGAGAGAGGAGTCCGCAGACCCAGTGCCCATTCGCCCAGATGCCAGTCACTCCTTGGACATGCCCTCCTGCATTCTGCAGCAGGCACCCAAATAGAGCCTTTCAACAAGTTGCATTCATGGAGATAATTGGTTTTTAATTGTCTCCCCCTGCCCCACCTTTTTTTGTTGAATGTGGCTGGCTCTACGGTAGTTCAATTTTAGAAAAAAATTCACTTTCACCACAGGGCGGTGCTGAGTCCCAGTATACCTTTTCCACTTTAGTTAAGCTGCATTTGGTAAAAATAATAATAACGTGATGTCTTGCTATACAAATACATTAAAGTTTTATTATTGATTTTCTCCTGGGAGTCGGGAAGATCAAAGTGCACTACGGCTGCACACTCACTGCTTTTCTAAGGATAAGCCTTTGAAATGAATGAGATTTAAAAACATATCATCATGCCTTTAAAAAAAAAAAAAAAAAACCCCTACCACGACTCTTGAAAATTCATTTGGTAACTTGCTTATTTTTTGGTTTAATTTGTGGATCATGACAGATTTTTCAAAGAAATGGCTTAAAATGTGGGAGGGGATGGTTGGGAGGTTAAAAAAAAATTGTTCCCCCTCATGCCTGAGACAGCATGCCAAGCAACCTGAGCCATCAGCTTATTGCAGGCAAATCTTCGCAAATCATTTGTCATGGTTTGGAGCTTTGAAATTGACAGTTTGCTTGAGGGGCCTGATTTCCACAGGGGTTTTCTCCTGTGGCATGCCACAGTGGAGGCTGACAGAAATATGGGTTTCTGGATTTCCAGGCCATGGGGAAAAGAGGGAGGTTCTTCCTTGCCCCATCAACACCTGCTTGTCCACCTTTGCCGGTGTTTAGGGGATGGCCAGAGTTGACATGCCATGAACACAGCGTGCTGATGGTGATATTCCATAGTCTGAGGAATGGCAGTGCACCTCTGAGCTGCTTTCCGAGTGGCCCTTAACAAGTAAATCTTTCACAGAGCAGTCTCATGCACAGGTTTGACTGTAGCTTATAATGACAAGGATTGTGATTTGAGATCCCAGAAAAGGGTAAAAAAAATTCCACCAGCCATAGCTCTAATTATCACAGTTGCCGATATGTTCATAGGCACAGGGTTTTGGTTTTGTCTTTTTATTTGTGCAATTCTTTGGTCTCCTTTGTGCTCCCCATGTTTCCCTTCCTGGGCTTGGCTGCTAGAGGCATGTGTACATATCTCTGTTTCAGGCAGAAAGGAAAGAGCCTCGCAGCATTTTTGCCTCTCTAAAATCTGTTTTCCTCTTGTCATTCTCCCCTCTCATCTCTACCCTAGTTCTCCTCCTAGAAACCAAGTCTCTGCTTTGCTAAAGGAGAGGAAATTCTGGATGAGTCTTCTTGCTCTTCATTAAGTGAAGTCCAAACTCCTTGCATATGCAGGTGTGGGCTTTTTAAAAATCGAGGTTTCCTAGATGATTGTGAAGAGTTATTAAATGCTTCCAGAAGGAGGTGCAAAAGCATGATCTCCTTTCTGACTCTTAAACACAGCATTTTGCTGGTGATAATAAAAAAAAAAGGAGAGCACCTCCAACATCTCAGGAAATGGAGATTGGTGTGGGAGATAGGAGGATTAAAGGGGAGCCAGGGGGAGAGGCAGAAAGGAGGCAGAAGAATGAGGCTTAATTGTATTAGTTTTGAAAAAGGTTTTTGATCTTCTCCACGGATAATTTTATTCCTGTAATGGCTGGGAAGATGGAAAACACAGCATCTGACAATCTTTTTTTATTAGCTGTTGCTTTTATATGATTCCACTTTCATTTGTTGAATACTCGCAGACCTTGACATTTCCAGCTTCTGTACACACGGCTCCAGGACTTCCCAATCATCACATCCCTTTCCTTTTTCCCCCTATTTCCTTTAAGTTTAGAACTGACAGTAAAAACCTGTTTCGGGGAAAGTTGGATAAGCTGCTGCATCATCCTTGACCACCCAAAATAGCTCAGAGTACAGTCCCGGGTGAGAGCAGGTTGAGATGGGGAGGCTGAGACCTGGGGCTGTTGGCCAAGCCATGGTGTATCCAAGGGGCTGGGTGGAATCCTGCGGCCGTCCACCGTGGAAGCTGGTCAGCCTCCACCTTCTACCTGTTGAGACTGGCAGGTAAGGAAAGCCTGCACAAAATCCAGACTCATTTTCAAGGAGGAAGAGACTTATGGACCCTTTTGTCTGCAGTATTTATTTCCTAGATGATTATTCTTGAGCATGGAAATCTCATTTTGTAGGGCTCCTGTGCTTTATAATCCTTCTGAGTAATTGTTCCTCACAGCCACACTGCAAGATCTGAGTGAGGAATATTGTTTCCATTTCCCCATAGAAAGCAGTGAGCTGTTGACACAGACAGGGGCCTTGTGAGGGTCTTATGGCACCTGAAGAAGCAGCCTGAACTTTGAGTATGGTGTAACTGATGGAGTGTGGGCACCAGAGCCCATGAGCCTTGGCTCCCACACAGCAATTCAGTCACTGTGCCTCCTTTCAGCTCGGTTTCTCCATCTGTAAAATGGAGATGCTAATGCTTTCTGCTGGGAGTTAATGGGAGGATTAAGGGAAATAACACCTGTAAAAGTGTTGGTGCGTGCTGGGCGCCTGGCAAGTGCTGGCTCCTTCCCTGGTGCACAGCAGTACTGGGGGCTCTGTTTCATGTCACAGTGCTTCAGGTTTGGATTAATGGATGAGCATGTGTGCATGCACACATATATGCATGCTGAGATGGATTTTTATCATTAAAGGTGGCCTGACCCCAACACCTGCTCTCTGGGATGGGGAAGCCTTCTCTCTGGGCTGCATCGGGCTTTTCTCTGATGGTCTTGCAGTATCCACTGGGCTGGGGCCATGCAATCCCCAGGTATGTCTGCACATCTGACAGTGTCACAGAACAAGGCCTTTGTCCATTTCTGTAGGCATCTTTGCACGGGACCCCTATTAACTTCAGTAGGGATGGCACCATGTTTGAGAGCTCAAACAAGAGCCTCAGAGCCGGCAAATGAGACATCGGGTTTTATTTGCAGAAAAGTTACATACAGGGACAGTCCAGTGGCAGTGGGATGGACAGGAGAACCGCAAGGTCCCATGGCCGGCTGAGCAAGCAAACCACTGCTCACAAAGAGCATGTAGTTTCCATAGCATTTTCACTTAGCACTCTCCCTAACAGGTTCTACCTGGCAACCTTCATTTAAACCCAGGGGTGGCCAATCTCTTGGCTTCCTTAGGCCACACTGGAGGGAGAATTGTCTTGGGCCACACAAAATACACTAACACTAATGATGGCTGATGAGCTAAAAAACAAAAACAAACAAACAAAAAAAATCACAAAATCTCATAATGTTTTAAGAAAGTTTATGACTGTTTTGGGCCACATTCAAAGCCTTCCTGGGCTGCATGCAGCCCCTGGCCCATGGGTTGGACAAGCTTGATTTAACCCAAAACAAAGGGCCTCAATGCCCTGTACAGCTGTGTTCCATGGATTTTCACTTCACAAGGGCCGGTGGTTCAGATGTTCCTTGTAGATAAGGAATGGATCTCTGGGTTGGCCATTCCCAGATTCCTTAGCTCAGAACTCCAAACACACATTCAGGTGCATCTGCCATACAGGCACATGGACCAGGAAGGTGAGACCCTCGACTGCTTGTGCTGGCTTGAGTCATGGCCGCTGAACCCCTTGCCATCTTAGCTGTGCTCCCACTGCACACCTGGCTCCAGAGCCTTTGCTCAGTTGCCAGTTTGTAATTTTCTGCAGGAAGCAAAAGAAGTAGGAGTGGGATTTACTCACACCATGCCTGGATTCAGGTATTATGGGGCTAAGGGGACTTGTGCCTCTTCAGAACCCCCACACTTTATCGTCTCCTAGTAGAAACCTTGGTGCTGGGTGGCTCTGAAGAAGACCCTGAGAGCCCATGGAGTTGACCACTTGTGGCTGGCCAAGCCCTTGTCTTCAGTCAACCATGGAGCTGAGTAGGGTGGTAGGGATGAGTAGGCTTTGGGGTCCAGCAGACCTCAGTTTAGTTCTGCCTCAGTCATGTAAGCAGCCTTGTGACCCTGAGCATGTCATTATGTTCTCTAGCCTCAGTTTCCTTATCTTTGAAATGGGGATTTAGGACTAACCTGCCAGCTGTTTTGGGGTGAGTGGTAGTTTGTGTAAAGCAACCATCAGAGTACCTGACCTTAGTATCCAGTCCTCTTTCATGTTATTTCTGTCCTCTTCCTCCTCTTTAATAAATGCCTGGCCTTCATTTACTCCACATCAATTTAAGTCTGCTAAATGCCAGGTGCAGAGATGGCTCAGACAGCTGTGGCTCCTGCCTCATGAAACCCACAGTCAGGTTTGGGAGGGAAGGGAGATGCCGAGGATTAGGATGCCAGATGGGAGGATGCCCATATGCAGGCTTCCTGTGAGTAGAGGACCTCCCAGCTCTGTGAAACGCTTCGTCTCACTTTATCCAAACTCAGCAGCTATGAAGTGGAGAAGGTCTTTTTCAGGGTTAGCATCAAAAACCAAGTCAGGAAGAAAGGGAGAAATGTATTCTTCCTGGACTTTGTCTCCTTTCCCCAGGATTGAAGTCTTCCTCCCTGTACCTTTCAGATGCTTCCCTGCACTGCCTCTGAGCAGTCAGCCCTTTCCCCCATTGTACTCCCTGCTGCCGATCGAACTTTCTTAAGAGAAGACCATCATCTGATCCCGAGAGCCCTGCTGTTTTCTCACTGACACCGCTCAACAGACGTCCCTATCCCAGGCACACTGGTCTCTGCCTTGTCCCTTGGTGTGTAGGGAAACACAAGCTACACAAGGTGTTTGGAGGAGGAATTAAATATAGGATTTCCACTTCACAGGAAAAGGAGTGGTCAGCAAATGTGAAAAGAGCTCAGCCTCACTACATATCAGGGAAATGCAAATTACAACCACAACATGATACCATTGCACACTCGGAAGAATGGCCAAAGTGGAAAAGACAGGCAGCTCCAAGTGCTGGCAAGGATGTGGTTTAACCTAAACTCTGAGACACCATTGGTGGAGTGTAAGTTGGCATAGCCACTGTGGAAGATCGATAGCCAGCATCTTTTAAAGCTGAACATGGGTATGCCCCAGGACCTAGCATTCTGCATGTGCCCCCAGGTTCACCAGATGTGCCCCCAGGTTCACCAGAAGAGAGGCTGTAGAATGTCCATGGTAGTGTCATTCACGATAGCCCTGAAAATGAGGAGAGAGGCAAGTGCCGGTGGTATTCATGATAGAGCATTGCTGGCATGAAAGTGAGCCGTCCACAGCTGCAGGTGCTGCTGTTGGAACTCCAGACACACTGCTGAGGAAAGCAGCCGGGTAGGGAAGAGGACCTACAAACTGTGATTCCATCTACAGAAGGGGTGAAGGCAGCACAGCACATCTATGGTGTTAGCAACTGGGATAACAGTTACCCTTTGGGGGCAGCAGTGACTAGCAGGGGTCATGTGGTGGCAGGGGCGGGGGCGGGGGGGAGGGGTGGGTAAGGCTTCCTTTCATGACCTTGGTGTTAGTTACAGGTGTGTTCAGTTGCTGAGAGTTCATCTGGCTGTGCTCTCAGGAAAGAGTCGGCACACGAGGCTTCATAAAAAGTGGGCTGCAGCTGAGGAAGGCAGCCCAGCAGGGGTGCCCCATGGCCTCTGCTGCCCCTCGCTGCCAGGCACCCTCCTCGCTGGCCTGCAGCGCTCTGCTCAGGATCTGCTTTCCAAATCCCAGGGACCTTACAGGCCTTAAACATCCTCTTCCAGGCCCTCCCAGGCCCACCTGTGTTTGCCTCGCCTCCTCGTGTGACTGGAGGACAGACCAGTAGGGATAGGCTACTCGCCTTATGGAGAGACACAGCCAGAATGCGGCAGGCCCACTGTTAGCCCACATCTGTTTGCACCCGGCCCGCTGGGCTCTTGCCTCCTCTGAGTTCTATAATTCTGAGTACCTCCTCTTCTGACCAGGTTGCTCCATGTCCATTCAGTCTAATAGAGTTGCTAAAACCCTGTGTCAGGTGCTGTGAGACAAGGGTCATGGGCACAGAATGAGGGCTGGGTGTGGAGCTACACCTCACTGGAGTGCCCCATAGGCACCGCAGAATCGCCTGCTGCTCCGTTGTCTGTCCCCCGCTGAGGTTTGAGCCCTGTGCATATTCTAGCACTTGCCACACTCTGTCTTGTTAGCGCCTGTGGCTGTCTGCTCTGCATCTGTGAGCACAGTCCTTGCTGGTCTGATTCATCAGGTGATTCATCGCCAAGGGCTGAGGATGCAGTGCCTGGCATAGAGTAGGTGCACAGTAAATGTTTGCAGGAATAAAGAAGGGAACGTGTGTGTATGCAATCAGGAAACAGTGACGCAGCGGGGTTCCAGAGGAGGAGGGAGCCTTTGCCCAGAAGGCTTCTCAGTGGGAGCTGTGTTTGGAGAGAGCAGGATGTCAGTGGGCCGCATGCAGGGCTGGTAGTGGAGAAACTGGGGCTTCTGGCTGGAGAGCTTGGCCCCAGCCAGGTGCTATGTGAGAAGGGAGGCCACAGGTGGTACAGCTGGGAAAACAGGCTGGCCTGAGAAAGAATAATGGTGCCATTAAGAGAAAGAGAAAATTTAGGTGAGCCACTACACTTGGAGAAGGTTGTAAATTTAATTCTAGGCTTGCACGTATGAGGCAGAGATGACCAGCTGATGATTGAGAAGTATCAGACAGGGAGTTCTGTGTCCTACAGAATGACAGTCACTATAATTTTGTGAGCATATGCTATGTGCCAGGCCCTCTTACATAAGTCATCGTGAATCCTTGCAGCAACCCTGTAAGGTAGATTATATTACACATGTTCTACAAATGCAGAAGCTGGGAAGCAGGCTGAAGTAGCTGTCAGAAGCCATGCACACGGCTGATAGATGAAGTCAGGTCTGCGAGACTCCAGAGCCCGCTCTTCCACTGCCACGTGCTGCCTCCCACCGCCTCCCGCATCAGTGAGTGGAGAAGAGTCCAGGAAGAATGTGGTTGGCAGTGCCAAATGCTGCCTGTCAGAGACATTGAGGACGAAGTGAGGCCTCGCTCATGCTGGCGTGAAGGCCCCGTGAGCTGTGTTGAGGATGCATGTCCTGCATTGTCATGGAGACTGATGCTGGGTTCCATGTAGGGTTCAGGTTCCCCAGCACTGGAGAAGGAGGAGGTCTCCAGACACGTGCTCAGTGAGGGGTGTGTCTCGTTGGAAGAGCCGCCACCTGCCTGCCGGTCACTCCAATGTGGCCAGCAGTACTTCTGTGAGTGAGAGAGGCCCAGAGTCTGCACCAGAGATTCAGAGCAGGGTCCCCTACCTTGAGGATGTGAGTGTGAGAGGCCTATAGAGAGAAGCTGCTAGAGCCTGGGGATTCAGAGGGAACTGCTAACAATGACCTGAAAACAATACAGCAGGAAAGCTTCCCTTGGGGAAGAGGCCCACCTTCCACCGTCATGGGGAGCACTCTTTAACCTGCTGAGTGAGGGATCTGAGCCCAAGGGACTTTTGAAGAGTTTTTGAATCAGAGTTTTCCAAACACCGCATGTTCTCACTCACAGGTGGGAATTGACAATGAGAACACTTGGACACAGGAAGGGGAACATCACACACCGGGGCCTGTTGTGGGGTTGGGGAAAGGGGGGAGGGATAGCATTAGGAGATATACCTAACGTAAATGATGAGTTAATGGGTGCAGCACACCAACATGGCACATGTATACATATGTAACAAACCTGCATGTTGTGCACATATACCCTAGAACTTAAAGGATAATAAAAAAAGAAAAAGTTTTTCACAAGGTTAGGCTGAAGAAGGGTACCGCCAACTGGTTAGCCCATTAACACCTTTTTTTTAGTAATGGTACCACCATGAAAGCTACCATTTTGTGTGTTCTCAGCCGTGTATTGAAAGTGAGAAGTGAAATAGCATATTGCTTAGAGATTGACGACTGCCTTTCTTAGCAAGATGAGCTTTTGTGCACTTGTCCTGGTGGGACCAGGTCCTTTGATAAATGTGATCAATGAGACAGGAATATACAAAGAAATTGATAACCATTGACCCAGTCCAGTTCTTTTCACAGATGGCCCAAGGCAGTTAAGTGGTTTGAGAGTTTCCTGGTATTGTAAGCCTTGGGTTTTTAGATTGAGAGGGAACCGAGTTTGAATTAAGACTTTACCACTTACTGGCCTTATAGAGATGATGAAGTCACTTAAGCCCTTGAGCCCTGGGGACTTTCATCTTTAAAAGGAAGACACTAGAGTTGCATTTCCGTTTATGTAATAAAGGACATAACCTACAGGCTAGCCTGCTGTAACATATCCTTGCTACTGCTGTTGTTGTCATTGTTCCTGGAGGTCACACACCTAATGAATAAATAGCAAGGACTCTGCCTCCTTGCATCCCTGTCCACAGACCTACAGTTTTTCCACTATAGTGTGAGGATAGTGGTTAAGGTCACAGGCTCTGAAGTTAGGTACTTTTAAGTCGTGGCTTCCCAACGTGTGTACTAACCGTTATAACCTCAACCAAGTGATTTACTCCTTACTGAACTTCACTTTCTTCATCTATATAAAGTTTCTACTTCGGATCATTATGAGAAGAAATGAGATGGCTCACAGTGTTTATCCAGGAGGAGCTCTCAGTAAGCACTTCATAAAAGATTTCCATTCCCACCCCTGCCCCTGCCACTGCCACCGCCACCACTACCAACACCACCACCACCAGCACCACCACCAGCACCACCACCTCATCCTCCTCATCCTCCATCACTACCTCCACCATTACCACCTCCTCCTCCACCATCACCTCCTCCTCTACTACCATCACCACCTCCCCCTCCTCTACCATCACCACCTTCCCCTCCATGACCATCACCACCTCCCCCTCCACGACCATCACCACCTCCCCCTTCACTACCATCACCACCTCCCCCTCCACTACCATCACCACCTCCCCCTCCACGACCATCACCACCTCCCCCTCCTCCACCATCACCACCTCCCCTTCCTCCACCATCACCACCTCCCCCTCCTCCACCATCACCACCTCCCCCTCCTCCACCATCACCACCTCCCCCTCCATGACCATCACCACCTCCCCCTTCACTACCAGCACCACCTCCCTCTTCACCACCATCACCACTTCCCCCTCCTCCACCATCACCACCTCCCCCTCCACCATCACCACCTCCCCCTCCTCCACCATCACCACCTCCCCCTCCTCCACCATCACCAACTCCCCCTCCTCCACCATCACCACCTCCTCCTCCTCCACCATCACCACCTTCCCCTCTACCACCATCACCACCTCCCCCTCCTCCACCATCACCACCTCCCCCTCCTCCACCATCACCACCTCCTCCTCCACCATCACAACCGCCTCCTCCACCATCATCACCACCTCCTCCTCCTCCTCCATCACCACCTCCTCCTCCTCCTCCATCACCTCCTCCTCCTCTACCATCACCACCTCCTCCTCCTCCTCTACCATCATCACCTCCTCCTCCTCCACCATCACCTCCTCCTCCCCCACTATCACCACCTCCTCCACCACCATCACCACCTCCTCCTCCTCTACCATCACCACCTCCTCCTCCACCATCACCACCTCCTCCTCCTCCACCATCACCACCTCCTCCTCCACCATCACCACCTCCTCCTCTTCCTCCACCATCACCACCTCCCCCTCCTCCACCATCACCACCTCACCCTCTTCCACCATCACCACCTCCTCCTCCTCCACCATCACCACCTCCTCCTCCACCATCACCTCTTCCTCCACCATCACCACCTCCCCCTCCTCCACCATCACCACCTCACCCTCTTCCACCATCACCACCTCCCCCTCCTCCACCATCACCACCTCCCCCTCCTCCACCATCACCACCTCCTCCTCCTCTACCATCACCACCTCCTCCTCCACCATCACCACCTCCTCCTCCACCATCACCACCTCCTCCTCCTCCACCATCACCACCTTCCCCTCTACCACCATCACCAACTCCCCCTCCTCCACCATCACCACCTCCTCCTCCACCATCACCACCTCCTCCTCCACCATCACTACCTCCTCCTCCTCCACCATCACCACCTCCTCCTCCTCCACCATCACCACCTTCCCCTCTACCACCATCACCAACTCCCCCTCCTCCACCATCACCACCTCCTCCTCCACCATCACCACCTCCTCCTCCACCATCACTACCTCCTCCTCCTCCACCATCACCACCTCCTCCTCCTCCTCCACCATCATCACCTCCTCCTCCTCCTCCACCATCACCACCTCCTCCTCCTCCTCCACCATCATCACCTCCTCCTCCTCCTCCACCATCACCACCTCCTCCTCCACCATCACCACCTCCCCCTCCTCCACCATCACCACCTTCCCCTCTACCACCATCACCACCTCCCCCTCCTCCACCATCACCACCTCCTCCTCCACCATCACAACCGCCTCCTCCACCATCATCACCACCTCCTCCTCCTCCTCCTCCATCACCACCTCCTCCTCCTCCTCCATCACCTCCTCCTCCTCTACCATCACCACCTCCTCCTCCTCCTCTACCATCACCACCTCCTCCTCCTCCTCTACCATCATCACCTCCTCCTCCTCCACCATCACCTCCTCCTCCCCCACTGTCACCACCTCCTCCACCACCATCACCACCTCCTCCTCCTCTACTATCACCACCTCCTCCTCCACCATCACCACCTCCTCCTCCTCCACCATCACCACCTCCTCCTCCACCATCACCACCTCCTCCTCTTCCTCCACCATCACCACTTCCCCCTCCTCCACCATCACCACCTCACCCTCTTCCACCATCACCACCTCCCCCTCCTCCACCATCACCACCTCCTCCTCCTCCACCATCACCACCTCCTCCTCCTCTACCATCACCACGTCCTCCTCCTCCATCACCACCTCCTCTTCCACCACCATCACCTCCTCCTCCACCACCATCAGCACCTTCTCCTCCTCTACCATCATCACCACCTCCTCCTCTACCATCACCACCTCCTCCTCCACCATCAACACCTCCTCCTCCTCCACCATCACCACCTCCTCCTCCACCATCAACACCTCCTCCTCCTCCACCATCGACACCTCCTCCTTCTCCACCATCACCACCTCCTCCTCCACCATCACCACCTCCTCCTCCTCCACCATCACTACCTTCTCCCCCACTATCACCAACTCCTTCACCACCATCACCACCTCCTCCTCCTCTACCATCACCTCCTCTTCCCCCACAATCACCACCTCCTCCACCACCATTACCACATCCTCCACCACCATCACCACCTCCTCCACCATTACCACCATTACCATCACCTTCTCCACCATCACCACCTCCCCACCTCCCCCTCCTCCACCATCACCACCTCCTCATCCTCCACCATTATCATCATCTCCTCCTCCTCCACCATCACCATCTCCCCCTCCTCCATCACCACCTCCTCCTCCATCACCACCACCTCATCCTTCTCTGCCACTTCCACCTCCACCACCACCTCACCATTCTCCCCCTCCTCCTCCTTCATCACCACCTCCACCATCACTACTACACCACCACCTCCTCCTCCTCCTCCTCTTCCTGCTCCTCCTCCACCACCTTCACCATCATCACTGCCACCACCACCTCCTCCTCCTCCATCACCACCAGCTGCACCATCACCACCATCACCTCCTCTTCCACCTCCACCACCTCCTCCTCCTTCTCCACCTCCTCCTCCTCCTCCTTCTCCACCACCTCCTTCTCCACCTCCACCACCTCCTTCTCCTCCACCTCCACCACCTCCTTCTCCTCCACCACCATTACCTTTTTTCCTCCTCCTCCACCTCCTCCACCATCATCTCCTCCTCCTCCTCCACCATCATCTCCTCTTCCTCCTCCACCATCATCTCCTCTTCCTCCTCCACCATCATCTACTCCTCCTCCACCATCACCTCCTCCTCCACCATCACCTCCTCCTCCACCGTCACCTCCTCCTCCAGCATCATCTCCTCTTCCTCCTCCACCATCATCTCCTCTTCCTCCTCCACCATCATCTCCTCCTCCTCCTCCACCATCACCTCCTCCTCCACCATCACCTTCTCCTCCACCATCACCTCCTCCTCCACCATCATCTCCTCCTCCATCACCACCTCCATCATCACCACTACCACCATCACCTTTTCTTCCTCCACCACCACCACCACTACCTCTACTACCTCTACTTCATCACTACCTCCTCCTCCTCCTTTTCCACCACCTCCACTTCTTCCTCCTCCTCCTCCACCACCACCTCCACTTCTTCCTCCTCCTCCTCCTCCACCACCACCTCCTTTTCCACCACCTCCACTTCTTCCTCCTCCTCCTCCACTACCACCTCCACTTCTTCCTCCTCCTCCTCCTCCACCACCACCTCCATTTCCACCAACTCTACCTTGACATCTACGTTCAATTTTACCTCCTCTACTTCCAGCCACCTCCATTACCAACTACACCTCTACCACTTCCACCTCTACCAACTGCTCCACCAACCCCTTCTGCCCCCACCACCACCACCACCATTTCTGTCATCATCTCCACCTCTGCAGCCTCCACCACAACCACCACTGCCACCTCTACCCTCCACCACCAGCTTCATTTCCAGTGCCTACACTTTCATCAACTCCATCACCAACTTCGCCTTCACCACCACCACCATCTCCACCATCCTCCATAACCTCCTCCTCCACGTCCACTTGCACTTCTGCAACCTCTGCTTCTCCCTCTTCCTCTACCACCTCCACACCTTCACTGCTACCACCATTTTGATTGCTGCTGCCCCCTCTCCCACCGCTACTACTATTATCACCTCCCTCACTGCCCCCACTTCCATTACCACCACATATTACCCTCTTCCCTGAGTCTACTCTGCATACTGCTTCTGGTATGTTTGCTAAAGATGTGTTTCTTTACCTCAGTCTCATCTACTACTTTGCAGAAATCCTCTCATATATCTCACACTAATCTCTGAGGTAAGGGGAAGCAGAAACTGCAACCTCTCTTGCACTCTAGAGAGGCTGTGGCCCTCCTGGGCCTTGCAACCAGGCTTCTCTAGGGTAGTTGTCTGTGCCAGGAACCCTGCTGAATTGGCTGCACACCTGCGCTTTGCTAAGTACAGTGCCCAAGACCTGTCAGTTAGGTTTCCTGATGGTGGGGTTGGGGAGTGCAGAGAGAATCACAAATGAAAATGAGGACACTGAGAGGTTAAGAGTTGGCCTGAGCTGTTCAACCTCAGAGCCAAGATTTAATCAGGGCTTTCAGACTCTACTTCTGTAAAATAGGAATCTTAGTAGTTCTGATCTCGTAGGGTAGTTTTGAGAATTAAATGAATTAATATAATATTGCTAACAGACTATACCTGTCTGTCTCCAAAGCTGGTTTTCTTGGTGCCCAGTAGTTAGCATTTATTGAGTGGTCCCACTTGCAAAGCAGTAGTCAAGCACTTCACCTGCACTGACTCCTTTGACCTTCACAGTGACCCAGTGAGCTGGGTGATAACAGTAATCACTGACTTTGCCTGACTCTGCTGCAAAAGTGCCTGATGCGTTCTGAGTGTGTCACATGTACTAATTTGTTACAGCCTTGAACAAGCCTGTGAGGAAGGGACTCCTGTCATTCCCGTTTTACAGATAAAGAAACAGGCTTGGAAATCTATACCAGTTGTCACATGAATGATTTGGGACAGTAGGGAGCAGTCAGAATTTGCTGCCCAAAGGCCTTGGCAGGCTAAATTCAGAGGATGACTTATTCACCAGTTGACTCTACTGGGCCACCTCAGAGGATTGTTTGAATCTGTATTAAATCACCTACAATGATCTTTACCCTAAGTGGAACAGTGCACCGAGCCTTTCTTTCCTTGTCCCCCAGACTTAATGATTTTGTCACATTTGCTCATCTCTCTGCCTTTTTTCTTTTGTTCTTAAGTACTTTCATGCAAACCCCAGTGACCATGAAGTTTCCCCCTACGTACTTCAATATGCATCTCTAAAAACCGTGGGCATTTTCTTACATAACTACAATGTTATTATCTTGCCTCAGAGAATTGACATTAGTTTCTCTGATTTTCTCAAAAATATTATCTTCCAGGAGTTTTGGGGTTTTTTGTTTGTTTTTGGTGTAAGTCAGGATCCACCAGGGCCACCGTGCTGCAGTGAGTTCTTAGGCATTAAGCCTGTCGTCTCCTACAGCAGACCCCAGCCTGGATTTCATGCCAGTGCCTTGTTGCATACACTTAGGTTCTTATTCTCCTGTTCTCTTTCATTGCATGGGACCTGGTCCAGAGAAGTAAAGGTCAATGCTGCAGGAAAAGCCAAATATACACCTTTTTAGGAGAGGTGAAATTGTCATGCAAGGCCAAGGGCTAATCTCACGGTTAAGTTGATGTTCACTGCTGCTGATTTATGTCATTTCCTCCATTATTGTTGCTAGGGTCCTTTTAAGCACAAGCTGAATCAGTACCTCATCTCAAAGTGATTCCTACACCATAGCTGGCAGCAGCTACATGAATATGCAGCATTTCCTCCTCCAGCGTTATTGTGTGTTGGTTTTTTCCCCTAGCATATTAAGCCAGCTAAATAGGTACTTACGGGTTGAAGAGCCAGAAGTGCCTGTCCATCATGTGCATGGGTTACCACCTATCCCTGCTGGAAAAGACTGTTAAACAGATAATTTTAATGAAATGGGTACTCTAAGGCATTTTCCTTTCCTTTCTTTCTCAGCTCTTCTCTGTCCAGCCTTGATCAGCTCGTTTGACCAGGAGAACCCCCTTGATATTTTTCTCTGCCCTTTGGCCCTTGGGGAGGGGGGCATGCTGAGAAAGGCAATCTGATATTAGCCATTGGCCTCTGCTGGGGCTGGCTATAAACAGATGCTTGTGCCACCCCCAATCCACTGGTGACCAAGTCCTGCCCACATCATTGAGCTAATGTCTCCCATGCTGTCTCTGTCCTCCCTCCATGATGGTGGCTCCTTGCTAATCTCTCACTTGAACTGAAGCTAAAACCTCCTCCACCTATGATCTGGCATCCACCTGTTTCAGGCAGACTCTATCTAGAGTTCATCAGTGGCTCTCACTGCATTCAGGAGAGAGCTGAGATTCCTTAGCTTTGCCTACAGGGCTCTGTGATCTGGGCCCTGCTTGTGGCTCCAGGCCCTATTCCAGTCACACCTGGCATGCAGTCCAGCAGCATCATCTGTCCCTGGAGCGCAAGGTCACCTGGCAAGCCCTGCCTACCCTGGAAGCCTTTTCTGACCACTTCCCATTGCCCCTTCTTTGTAGGGCTGCCACATGTGGTGGCATAACCTAACTCAGTTTCCCCCTACAGAGTCCAGCTCAGGTCCTGGTCAACACCTGACAAACATACAGCAGCTCTGCAGTCAGGACAGACTGCATCAGAGACGAGCCAGTGGCAGAGCCTGGGCTGAGGTGGATGGACGTAGATGGAGTTCCTCTCTGAGTGTAACTGAGTGTTGCTTGGTGCCAACAGGGGAGCCAGGCCCTCTCAATCTTAAAAACTGCCTTGGTACTTGTGGGAATTACCCAACCATCTGCTTGGAGCTTACCCAGCCATGGGGCAGCATTGCTTTTTTTTTTAAAAAAAAAAAATTGCTTATACTCGTCTTAAGTAACACATGTTCATGTAGGAAAAAAACAAACAATGCAGATAATCCCAAAGAATAAGATGAAATTGGCCAAATCAGTTCACCTAGAGAGGTAACCATTGTAAATCTCTTGCTGTATGCATGCCTAGACTGGCTTCTGCTATGGTAAAATTTGTAATGTTATAATATTTGCAAAAATGGAATTGTAACCATGCATGCCATTTGGTAACCTTTTTAGAACACAGTCTATTTTGAACCCTTTTTCCACATCAAATCTATGTGCATGTGCCATAATTTGCTCCACCTAAGTTACTTTAGGCTTTTCCTACTAGGTAAAAACCAGATTACTTTGACAAACTTTCTAGCTGCCTAAACTTGTTTTCTTAAGAGAAATAGATGAAGAATTGTGGTTACTAGGCTGTAGACCCTGCACATCATAAGGCTTTTGGTTGCCAGATTGCCATGCATAGAGGCTGTAGCAGCTCTCACTCCACCGGTGGCATGTAACAGTGCCAGTCTCATGAGCTTTCATCAGCATTGAGTAGTTTCCTTTTCACTTTTTAAGTTAATTACTCATATAATGCACATTTCTAAAAAAGTTAAAAAACACTGTGAAAGCATGCAAAGTATGGCTCCTAATCTCCAGAACTAACCACTGGTGTGTATTCTTCCATACATTTTAAGCAACCTTATTTGTGTAAATAATACAAACATAGTTTGTTTTAACAAATAGGCTCACAGTTTATTATTTCATAGGTTAATATTGTAACTTGCACAGAACAGTACATCTGGGACGACTTTGCATTATCAGGTCTCTTTGCACACCAGTCTCCTTTTTTTTTTTTTTTTTTTTTTGATGACTGTGATGGGGATTACCGTTATTTAATCATTTCCTGTGGATGGACATTATGATTATTTTTATTTTTTACAATTAATTTCAATGGATACATCCAAACTTCTCAATGGTACATCAAAAACATGTACCAACAAAAAGTGTTTTGGAGTTTCTTGCCCCACATCTATACCATCACAGCATGGTGATGGTACAAAATTTTGCATATAATTATTGATACGGCTGAGCATCTTTTCATAAGTTTATTGGGCCTTTGTATTTCTTCTTTTGAGACTTGCCTCTAAATATCATTTGGCTAGTTTTGTGTTAGGCAGTTTGTCTTTTTCTAATTAATTTTTAGGACTTCTTTATATAATATGAATTATTAACTTCTAATTATTTATTGTTACTCTGTTTTCCTGATCTGTTGGTTTAATGTTATAGATACTACTTTTGGCATTTAGATATTTAAAATCTGTGTAACTTATTGTAAGTTTAAAAGCTCCCCCTTCCCTATTTTTGTCATTTTTTAAGTTTGTTAATTTGATGGACAAAAAATTGTGTTTTGGATCTGTACTTATTTATTACCAATTAAGCAGTCACATTCATTGCTTTCTGAAATCCTGTTTTATTCATTCTAATCATTGTTGGAATCTCCCCTGTTAGAAGGCACTTTCAGGATGTTTTCCTGTTGTCTCCCCAGCTGGCGATGGCTTAGCTGCTGACTAGCAGCTCCCAGGTTGGAAAAGCATGGGCTTTGGGTTCATCCCTGGGTCAGATTCTTGTCCTCAGCACTTGCTAACTGCGTTAGTTAACTTTCCTGAGCCTCAATTCCTCATTCTTAATGGACCTTACTGGAGTGTTGCTAAGGGTTCCCTGAGATACTATATGAACATGCCTACTAGAATGTATACAGAGATATTCAGTCACTTCTTCCTCCTGAGGTGGTTCCTCTCATTAGTGGTCACTCATACCTGTTCTTTATGTTGGATTAAACTCCGTGTTCCAGTATAGAATTAGGACCCGTTGCTTCTACTCCCACCCTGTGGAGTCGCCGTGGCTGTTACAGAACCACACAGCATCCACCTGCAGCCCCCTGTATGTGTGGAGGTCGGGGAGCTAAGGGCTGACTTGGGTTTTTTCCCCTTAACCGTTCTCCCAGTTCTTTCAGGTATTCCTTGCAGGAAGTGATCCAATACTTGTCCTTTTGGTTTTGTCTCCATCCTTCACGTCCTGGTGCCTGGGTTGGGCTGGATGGCGCTGTGCTGTGCCTGCTTGTGAGGGACTGTCTTCCACAGCACATCCTGGGGCTTCCAGTCCTTAGCGTGGCTCCCTCGGGCCACCTTAGTGTGCACACTGGGAAGCCACATTCCCACATTCTGCATATGACTACTGTTTTTGGACCTGAGCACAGGGACTTCACTATGCCTATTAATTTTCATCTCTTAGAGTAGACAAAGACAAAAGGTGACAACATGGGTCTGGCCTGACCTGTTCTTCAGCAGCCTGGACCGGGCTAGCTTCTGGGGACTGCATTTCTGGACCATAAAGTTCTGCCAGGGATCTATGTCCAGTTCACCAATCTGTAGTTTGCAAAGCATCTGCCTTATCTCCCCTTTGCTGAATTGGACATTGTCTTGTCTTGGGCATCTTCCCATTTTGTCTGAATTCTCGAGAGTGCCTGCAGCGAGCGAGTCTCTTTAGTGAGTGAATTCTGCGCTGAGCTGTGATTCATCTGGGTCAGGAGATTTGGATTCATTTAGTGTGACTGGATGTTCTCTCACAATCTCTTCCCTGACATACGTTCCAATTCCCTCATATCAGCGTTTGATTCACCCTTTTCAGTCTGAAGATTGTTCTCCTTGATAGAAAATGGGAGTTTAGTAGCTCTTTCTCTCTATCATCTGTTAACTGAACACCTTTCACCCCAGTATGGGCCTATCCCTTCTTGTTTCTGTCACTCCTAATCCAATTTTAAAAGCCCTTTCTTGGTCCTTAACATTTTCCAAAAGGATCAGCGTGTCTGCACCTCAGCTCTCCTGACCCCATTCTTATAGGCCTGGGCCACTCGGTCTTGTTCCTGGTTGGTTCCCTGCCCTTCCTGTACTCTGTTAGGCATGGGTGCTTCTACGAAAACTTCCTCCACAGCCCCACTGAGGCCCTTAGGTCAGGGATTCTCAGGGGTTTCACTCCTAGAAGCACATGATAGAAATCACCTCTGTTCATCAGATTGTAGGTCTCCTTCTCCCCAGGATGACGTGTTCCCTCAAGGGAGCCCCGTCCCCACCCTATGAGTAGCGAGCCTGGCAAGGTCATGATTTTTAGGCTCGTTGGAGCTGAGGACAGCTTATGCTCTTCCCCCCGACCCCCCAACTTTTTTTTTTTTTTTTTTTTTTGAGTCGGCGTCTCACTCTGTCGCCCAGGCTGGAGTGCAGTGGCGCAATCTTGGCTCACTGCAACCTCCGCCTCCCAGGTTCAAGCAATTCTCCTGCCTCAGCCTCCCGAGTAGCTGGGACTACAGGCACGCACCACCACGCCTGGCTAATTTTTTGTATTTTTAGCAGAGACGGGGTTTCACCGTGTTAACCAGGATGGTCTCAATCTCCTGACCTCATAATCCGCCTTCCTCGGCCTCCCAAAGTGCTGGGATCACAGGCATGAACCACCGTGCCTGGACTCCTCTTCCCCTTTTAAAGATCATCCATCATTGTATTTCTCAGAAATTTGTTTCTAAAGACTCTTATCTCTCTTATGTCTTCCCCTTAGGGTGTGGTGGCTCTCAACCAGGGGTGCTTTTGCCCTTCAAGGGCCATTTGGCAACATCTGGAGACATATTTGGTTGTCATGACTGAGGGAAGGATACTGTTGGCATCTATCTACTAGGTAAGGGCCTGGGATGCAGCTCTCCACCCTACAGTGCCCAGGACAGCCCCTCACAGCAAGGAATTAGCACAAAATGTTGACAGTGCCAGGTACCATGGGGCCAGCCTATAGACCCAGCTTCTCGGGAGGCTGACATGGGAGGATTGCTTAAGCACAGGTGTTTGAGTCTAGCCTGAGCAACATTGTGAAACTCTGCTCTATTTTTTTTTAAGTGCCAAGATGAAGAGATCCTATTTGGGGCAACTTTGTATACCTCGTAATCACCTGAAGTGCTCGGTAAAAAGATTTCCACCGCAGAGTCCTAGTCTAGGCTCGGGCTCAAGAATCTGCATTTAGATGAGCACACCTATGCCTACATGGATGGTTTAAGGCCCACCTTTGAGAAACACTGTTTAGAATCTTAGGTTAGAAGCTGGATTCCTTGCACTCTTTCTTCCTGGCATGAGGGATCCACAGGCTCCAGGCATAGAACCTTCCTTGCCTGAGCTGCCAGGAGCACTGAACTCACAGGCTTCCTCTCTCCTGGACTGGTCTCAGCTCCTGCACCTTGCTTCCCTGGAGAGCCCTGGTTTTCATCCCTATCTTTTAGAACCAAGGGGCAAAACAGGATGTTCTCCAGGCGAGTAACAGTTGAGGACCCTGCCCTGCTGCTCCTTCCCTGGGCTGTGGTCTGCTGAGGCAGGGACACTGCTGATTTCCCTCGTTTCTCACCGCAATTCTCCTCTGTTGTGGCCTAAGGCAAGTTGTGCTTACGCAAGTTTCAGCATCTCAACACAGGAGTGTACTTTTTTGACAGGGGCTACTGTCTCTCTACCTTCTGTCAGCACTGTGCAGGATATCTACAGTCCTGGGACAGCTGCTTTTGCTACTTCCTTGAACACGGCTGGTCGTAAATATCCACTGTCATGTGAACACTTGTATGTTTCCAGTAGGCATTCCCCATCACATCAAACATCCTGGTTTGCAAAGTGTTTTCAGATATTCAAAGAATAAGTGGAGGCCATGCGCATCATCTCTCTAGATGAGAAATAGTGATAGTGCTGGAGCTGGGAAAAGACCGCAGGCCTATTTGCTCTTTTTGCGTTGCCTGAATGAGACCTGGTGGTTGTTCAAGTGCAGTGAGTAGAAGGTTTGTCTTTTTTTCCCCCTCTTTCTCCCGAAGCTCTCTCTCCCAGCCTTGCTTTATTTGTTCATTCTTTCAAGTCCATTATTCAGTGCACGCCTCACCAATATCACCAGTGTTTTTGGCAGAGTAAGAGCTGAGGAGGGAAGACTTCATTGTCTGAGGTCAGAAATACTCCAAGTGCATGAGTTTCCTGTCCTTCCCTATGGCTGTTGATTCAGAATGTGAGATGCCAGTTCAGCTAAGGTTGGTTCAGGTTGGTCAGCCAAAGGAACTTAATCCACAGGGCTGGGGCTGGCTGGAGTGCCGTGATAAGAACTTCTGCAGCTTCTGTGGCCTCTGCAGCACCTGCTAGGCATCACCACTGAGCAGGCAGGATGGCTTCTCCCAGAGGTCTGTGGCCTTGACATTCTCTTCCACCTGCATGGAGGGACCAGCCATGGCTCCCTTTGTTTGAGTGCTTATGTACCAGGCACTCCACCAGGGGCTTTATCTCTAGTCACACACAGGTCTAGTAAGTAGATGCAGGTATTCCCTCTGTACCACTGGGAACCTGGGCCTCAGAGAGTATGTAGCTTGCTCAAGGCCACACAGCTTGTTAAGTGGTAGAAGCGGGATTTAAACCTGAGGCAGGCTGGCTTCACATCTCTACCCTTGCCTCCATTGTTGAAGCTGTGATTTGTCTTTTGAAAGGGCGGGAAGATTTCCTTTCAGAAATGGAGATGGCCCCTGCCCCGCAGAACCCAGCTCACTGCTGTAATTACTCTGGATCCCGGGCCATGTCGGGTCCCCTCCAGACAGTCTGCTTCCATGTCACTTATGAAGTGCCGTCCCAGGAACTCATGACGCCTCAGGACTGTCCTTCTCAAGGCTGCTCATGGAATTCAGCTCCTCTGTGTGCCTTACCACTTACTCTAGGTGTAACACCAGGTGTCTAAAAAGTGTTTCCTTACAGCTGTGTTCCTGCTCTCAGGACCAGTTAAAAGTGTTCATGGTAAAGTAGAACCTGAAAGATGCCTTAGGAATAAGATTGGAGCCATTAATTTAGGAGGAGAACATTGCACGTGCCAGTGTGGAGAGCACAGGCCAGATTAGATGGAGCTGGCCAACGTCTGGGCAGGGAGAGGGCACAAGCAGCTGAGCCCGTCAGGATGTGTACCATGTAGCCTTGGGATGGCACTCATCAGGGCAGCTCTGTCTGGAGGGCTCCTCATCACCTGAGGCTGCAGGTGCTCTGTAGAAACCATCATCTTCCCCGGGAAATATGCAATGAATGGTCCACTTTCACTACCACAGCAGAAGACTCATGGTCTGCTGGGCTCCTTCCTCTCCCTTTCCTTGTATTCAATCAATTCCCGTACTTCCTAAATATTTATGAACTGTTTCTCCTCTCCATCCATACTGCCCCGTCATCTGTTACCTGGACCTTTGTGGTCTCCTTGCCTTTAGTCCCACAGCTTCAATAAGTCCATATTTCTCATTACCACACAAAACAGCCTGCCAGTTCCCTGCTCAGAAGGATGGTCCCCATCCTTATGGTCTGTCCTTCACGGTCCTGGGTGTCCTAGCCCCTTCTGGCTGTCTGCCTGCAGCTCCCCTGGCCCCACCTCACATGCTCCCACCAGCAGAATGGACCTGCTTCTGCCTTGGGGTGCACTTGGTACACCTTCAGGTATCTCTGTGTACTTCTGGGACCTTGTATTAAATGTGTTCTCTCTACCTTGTCCTGACCAGTGTCCCCTTTAAGACTCAGCCTAGCCATTGCCTCCTCCAGGAAGCCTCTCTGGATCCCACTGGGCGGAGCTCAGTGTTTCCTAGCCCCTGTGTTGGCTGCACCATCGTGAGACTGGTGTGACTCTTGCCTTAATCTGAACCCTGCAGGCTAAGGGTGATTCTTCCTCATCACAACACCAGAATCCAGAGCAGGAAGAGGGAAGAAGGGTGCCCTGTGGGGAAGTACCCACCCTGCATGGGTCCTGGGGAACCCGTGGCCTGTGTGCCTGTCCAGCAGGGTGCTGGCCACCACAGGCTATGCCAGGGAAAGGGCTGCCTGCCTTCTGAAGAGCAGAGACCCAGGCCTGTCAGTGGACACCTGGGACTGTTGGGGAGCACATGGAGAGCTGGCACGTAGAGCCTCTAGCTGGCAGGTGCTGGCGCACTGCTCTCGTGCTACAGTGATGGAGTGGCACCTAAAAGCCATGGGAGAGCTTCCCTCAGAAATTTGGAACACCAGGGGCAGAGGGGAAAGAGCTGGAGAGAATTGGGCTCAAGTTTTGTAGTGTTTTAATGAAAGACTCCCGAGGCTTCTGGTGAGGGTTCTTGATGGCATCATACTTCATGCAGTTTTAAATAAACCAGGCAGTTTAGAGGTGCGTCAGTGTCCTTAGAATCCTACAGTCCCAGGGTTTAGACTCTAACCCGGGGAGGTAAAGGTATTTTCGCAGTTTATGCAGTGTGTTAAAGGTCTTCTAACAAACAAAGCACTGTATTTTTGTTTTTTCTTAAAATGATTTGAAATATCAGAAAAATCACATCCTGTCACATGTTCTCCCTTAGGAATATTGCCATGAAAACCTGTAGGGTCCTGTGCTTTCTGCTCTTCTCCCAGGAGAAATATGGATCATCTCATTGTCTCTTGTTAAAATGGTCAGACTCAGCTATTATTTTTTGATATGCTAATGGCATCTAATGAGAACAACAGCTTTCAGTAAAATAAATAGAATATATTGTAGAATCTGGTAGTTTGCTGGTGGTTGTTGGATATTAGCCAGTGACTTTGTCTGGCCTAGAATAATGGCTAATAATACTTACTCTGAGCACTGTTAAGTGTCAGCTCATATAGCCTGCTTCTTTGTAGCTGCTCAAGAAATGTTCATTATATGAGTTAGTGGGCAAAGGTGCTTGCTGCAGAAGACTGCTTTCTAATCACATATTCAGGGACCCCAGTACCCAGTGCAGGTGTTACTGGTGTGGGTGGTGTTTAGAAAGAAGCTTGATGAGTTCAAATGATACAGAAGCACAGCAAGGCATTGGGAAGAAGAGATAATGCAAAGCTTGTTTGAGTCTGGTGAGAAGAAACGGGCCTCCATTGCCAGAACCCCAGGAATGTTTGTCTGTACTTGGGAATTGTGTGTGAGTTAACAGGCCAGCCTGCCAGAACTGTGACAGTGTTGTACTCTCATTCTTGGTATTTGTATTTTGTGACATTTTTTAAAGTGTGGTGAGGTATAATTGTTAACATTTTATGTTTTATTGGCAGTGTTTTATTGAAAATACCTCACTTCCCTCATGAACATGTGATCTTAAAAATATCGGCAGTACTTTTAAATGTGTTATCATTATCTCCTATGACCACTTTTCCCCTGGTGGGCTGGAATGAACTTCACTGGAAAGTGAACGAATGTGTGAATGTCGCATCACAGAAATTCATTTTGCAACCGGACTCTAATAGAATACATTTATTCCATTAAGATAAACAGATCCCTTTCCTCTTTTAGAGCAGTTTTCAAATGTGTAAATGATTGAAGAAGAAAAAGAGTTATGAGGAAAGTCTAGAAAGAAAAACCTGGATCCATAATATGATAAGAGAGAAAGCAGCCAGCGGACTCAGCAGGGTGAAGAGTGTCAGCAGAGCAGAGGGAGCGGGTTGCAATGGAATCTGAGCAGCATCCAAAGCACTTTGGGTAGGAGGAGCATCTAGATCATGAAGATTTTAAGTCACCAGCCTGTGAATTAACAACCACTAATTGAGATTCTGAGGCCAAAATGTGCTTCTGCTAAAATAAGGGGGAAAAAGATAGAAGTGTTTGAATCCACTTATTTTTCAGAAAGAAACTCAGGAAGGAGAAACCAGGACCTAATGGAATTGTTACTCATAGCGGGGAATGGGGATGGGATGGGACTTCTTTGAGTAGACTTTTTATATATAGTTTGGCTTTTAAACCCTGTTGATGTTTTGTTTATTCAAAAATTAAGTCAACGGCCGGGCGTGGTGGCTCGCACCTGTAATCTCAGCACTTTGGGAGGCCGAGGTGGGTGGATCACGAGGTCAGGAGATCGAGACTGTCCTAGCTAACACGGTGAAACCCCATCTCTACTAAAAATACAAAAAATTAGCTGGGCGTGGTTGTAGGCGCCTGTAGTCGCAGCTACTCAGGAGCCTGAGGCAGGAGAATGGCCTGAACCCGGGAGGCGGAGCTTGCAGTGAGCCGAGATTGTGCCACTGCACTCCAGCCTGGGCGACAGAGTGAGACTCCATCTCAAAAAAAAAAAAAATTAGGTCAACAAAGATGATGGAAAAATGAATACAAACAGCATTAAAGGAACCTAACTCTATATCAGATACCACAACCACACAGAAGGAAAAAAGTTAGGTTAGGTAGACCAGCTGCATCAAACTAGATTTAAACAAGCACAAATGAGTGTGTATAAATCTGGTGAAATCTGAATAAGATTGGTGGATTACATCAATTAGTGGATCAGTGGTTGTGATATTGTCCTATAGTTATTAAGACATTACCATTGGCGGAAGGTACATGGGATTGTCTGAATTATTTATTAGCACTGCCTGGGAATCTACAATTATCTCAAAATAAAATGTATAGTTAAAAAAGTAATTTGGGTAACTTTTGAACATAGTACTCTGTACATCCTCAGTAGAGTGTATTCTAAGGAAGAAATGAAACCTTGAGCTTCACTTAGGCTTGATTTCCATTGGTATGGTGATTACAAGCTGTTTTATTTGTATTATAGGACTGAGCAAATGAGCACTGGTGTCATTAGGAGCTAGAGTTCTCACTGTAGGGGACAGAAGGTGCAAAAATGGAATGGAGGAAGAAAGAGCCTTGTGGTCTTGGTTTGGAATAAGCAGAATCAATATGAATTCAGGGTTTTAAAGAAGTCTATTTTTCCCAGCTTTGTTCCCGGAAAGAACACTGAAAGTGAAGACACATCAGTAGTAGTAAGCACTCCTTTCACCTAAATCTTGGTTTCTAAATGACCATTCCTAATTGAAAGAAACCAGTGTTTCCTGAAATCTGGCTGGTTCCGAGGCTGCAACAGGAAATTGACAGGGTGAGCCTAGGACATTTTATTTTATGAAAAAGAAGGAAGTGTTCACAGAATGATGGCAGTATGTGAGTCCACGTACCACTGAGGATCCAGCCTGAAAGGGCTCCCACGAGCCACACTTAGAATGCACAGTGAATAATGACAGAAATGGATTAGAACACATTGAATGTTTAAAAAGAGAATCTGAGTCCATTCTGATATAAAACATATGGAAGTATGGAAAGTAAGGAAAGGAAAATTGTCTTTACAAAAGAATGCCAACTAGTAAGTACAGAAAGGATATACCGTCACTTTTGCCACCTTCGTAATTAATTCAGGCAAAAATCATGAATTGGTCTGAAGCTATTGGATGAAAGATTGTTGGGAAATAGGATAATCACAGGTCTTGTAGCATCACCCTTCAGATTATGTATTATAGCAGGGAAGGGATATGGTTGCAGTTTATCTATGCCTGCATCACCAGCCACCTTTGATAATAGCATCAGGCAGCCATTCAGTTACAGTGGTGGAGGCTGTGAGTCAGGAGCAGGAGGAGCAGTTTGTGTCTGCTCCACAGTCTCCTGGGCCTCATCTGGGAAGACTTGATGGCTGTGAGCTGGAATCACCTGCACCTGTCCTCATTCACGCTTGTGGCAGTGGATGCTGGCTGTCGGTTGGGACCTTTGCTGGGCTCTTGGCCACACTTGTAAGTGGTCTTTTGGTGTGGCCTCTCTAGGCTTCCACATTATGTGGTGGCTAGATTCCAAAAGCATGTAGGAGCACAAGGTGTTTTGCAGTCTAGCCTTGTTGATTGCATAATGCCACTTTTGCCCTATTTATTCAGCTATTGGTTGAAGCAGTCAGAATTCCATCCAAGATCCAGGGAGAGAATACAGACCTCACCACAGTGGGGCAGGGTGGGATGAGGCATCATGTCCCATTAGAGTTAGGACATGTGGGTTGGGAGACATTGCTGTGGCCATTGCTGGAAAATATCTGCCATGGGATCTTATAATGGAGCAGTCTAGTGGTCACCATCTTAATTTCCTATTACCAGTCATGGGATGCATTGAGAAGGGCACTACATTGCCTATGTCATTTTTTTACCAAGAATTTTTTACCTGAATCTAATAATAAGAAAACAATCTTTCAAGTCTATATTGAAGGATGATCTCCAAAACAAATGTGCCAGACTCTTCAAAAGTTATCAGTTTCACAAGAGGCCAGAGAAAGGCTGGGAATGCTTTAGATTAAAGGAGGATAAAGAGACATGTCAAGTGAATCCAATGTGTGAACCTTGATTGGATCCTGAATGGGAGAGCAGCATCATTACTGGGGTAATTGGAAAAATCAGATATAGACTATATTAGAAGAGCATTGTGCTGATGTGAAATATCCTGAGTGTGTGACAGTTGTTTTATAAAGACAAAATAGGAACGTGTCAGAATGTCCTTGTTTTTAGGAGTTGGAGCTGAAGTGCTTAGAGATGAATTGTCGTAATGACTGCCGTGATGAAATGTGTAAATGTGGTGAAACCCTAACAAGTGATGAATCTAGGTGAAATGTATATGGGCACTTATCATATTATTCTGCAAATTTTGTTGGTTTGAAAATTTTTCAAAATAAGAACAAGTGTTGGGTAAACCTACACCCAGACTCTCCTCCTTAGTGGCAGAAATAAGATTTCTGGGAGGATGAAGGAACAGAAAAGATTTAAGTGTAAGGAAAAGTAGCCATCAGCTCTGCTCTCTGGTTAGGGAGATGCCATTCTCATGTGACAATATACTAGGTGTGATACACCTGGGATAAGAGGAGGGCAGTGTGGGCCGGCTGACAGTGCCCCTTTCAGTGATGGAAACTCACAGAAAGGAAGTAGGGCGAGTGTACAGTCCTCAGTGTTTTATGGGGACAAAGACTAGAGGGGAGGTTGGGACTGAGTGATGGGCTTTATTTCTAGAAGCCCCTCCTGCAGGGCAGCAGGACCGGCAGCTGCCAGGCCCACACATGCCTCGGGAGAAAGACCATAGCCAGGCCTTGGATTGGGAGTGGTGGCCAACCCCATCAGAAAACAAGATGCAAAATGCTGTGATCTCACACAGAACAGAACCAAGCAGACACCCACAAAGACAGAGTCACCCTGCTGAGATTCCCACACCCAAGCACCTTACTCTGCCTTTCACCATATTGAATCACTAAGTTTTTAAATATAAACTCATCTGATAGCCTTACCATCTGAGAGGATGATTCTGAGGTATCCAGGTGATGAATAAGGATCTGAGGGAGACCCACTCACACTATCTGGGGGACAAATTCTAGGCTTAGAGAAATCAGTTATTTAAGGATGAGTAAAAGGGAAAATTTAAAAGCCCAGCAAGAGGCATGTAAAAAGTATATAGCATTAGAAGAGAGTTACAGTGCTCAAGGTAAAAACATCTCTTTTTTTTCATGTTTTACTGGAAAATGTGTACTCAAGGAAATTAAAGGAAGTCATGAAACAAGAAATAGTGAAAATGATCAAAGGTTCCTTGCCTCGGTTTCTGACATTGTGAGTCAGGCTGTTGAGGTGGAGGCTGGAACATGGATCTAATGCACAGAATTGGTCCTTGGGATCCCCAAAGAAACCCCAGAGCAAATGGACAACAGCAATAATCATAGATGTCATAGGAGGAAAGATCTCTGAGTCAGATTCTAAATGGGCAGAGCACACATTTGCAGAACTGCCGACCTGTATGGGAGGACACAGTCTGTGGCCAGGAAAGCTTCCTCAAAAGAAAGTTAATGGCTGCCAAGCCCGCATATGGGCTGTTTGCCCCAGGCTTGCTTGCACTCTCCAACTGTCCTCGTAGGCCTCCCAGGCTTGCTCTGTACATTTGTTCCTGAATGCAAAATACAATGGGTAGAGCCTGTTTCCTTCCCTGTGGCCTTAGGCACTGAACTGCTCTGCCCCTCCTCTGGGCACCCCACCCCACACTATGCCCTTTGCCTCTCTTGGGGTCCTGGTGTCTCCCCCAGTGCTGAGTGGTTTCCTTTGTTTGCCTTTCCACAGGGCTCTGTGCTGGACATGCTGAGCGCAGCTTCTCCTGGCTACTCGCCCCAAGCCCCCCATTGAGCAGGGCCCTATGTGTGTTGACAGACTTGAATGAATATTGATTTAATACAAGTGTATAGCAAAACTTTTGTGAGAAAAGGTGTAAGAGAGCTGACCCTCATTGCCCATCATGAGAAATTAATCACTAATACCACAAGTCGTTGCATCTCAAGATTGCTGTAAAAACATAGAATTCAGAGCCCCAGAGTTAGTGCTGAGGGGATGGAAAGGAGCTTCTCGAAGGAGTCGGCTGGAGTATTGGAAGGGTGGATGGGGCACCGCTGTGTTTTGTTGTATCTTTTTGCACTTAATGACTATTGATTAAAATAGTTCTTTGATTAAAATTAAAACTAATTGAACTTTTTAATAGATAAGTGCTCTGACAAAAGAAAGAACGAGGTACTGCGGGAGGGCATCTGAAGGTGGGGTCTCCAGGCTGCCCTGGCAGGTGGCTCTGGGTGGGGTGACTGCTACTATTTGTAAAAAGCATGCAGTTTACATAGCACCTTCCTCCTAGTACCTTCCACTTAAACAAGGGTCTCAGTTCCTTTCACGTCCTGGATTCCAAAGGACGGCCCAGGAGTTCAGATGTCCTTTGTAGATAAGGAATGAATCTCTGGGTTGGCCACTCCCTGATTTGTTATCTCGGAACTCCAAACACACATCCTTCATAGCCCATAGTGTCCTTCTCAGGGTATGCTTAAGTTACTGCCGTCAGGGGCGTCTGCCAGATACCCTCAGAGCCCCAAGCTATCCCCAGGTATCAGCAGGTAGCAGGAAGCGGTGTGGAGTAGTGGCAAGAGTACCTCTCTTACATTTCCACCTGGACCTCCCTCTCCGCCTTGCCTCATCGTCTCTAACCTCTCTGAGCCTCTGTTCACGCATGGAGATGCCTACCTTGGCCGCTGTGTCAGGATGGAAGAGGAACTGCTATGAAAGGGTTTTATCAAGAGGAAGGTGCTGTGAAGATTCTGGTTGTGCTACTAAGAAACAGAAGTCCTGGTTCTCCGCTGCAGAGGTTCCTCTGATGTGAACTCTGTCTCTGGCCTCAACTCCAATTCATTTTCTCAGATATTTATGAATTAATTTCTTTTACGAATCATCTGTTGATGATAATAATCATGATAGCTGCAATTCATTTAACACCTGTTATCGCCAGGCCCTATATTAGGCACATATCAGAAATTACCTTTTTTACTCCTCACAGCAATCTGTGAAGGAAGCAAAGTTACCTCCACTTTATACAAGAGCAACTTGAACCTTTCTAAGGCAATTATCACACATGCAAGACTTCTGGAAGAGCCAGGACGCTCCTTGTACAGAGGGCTCCTTGATTTGAGGAAGCCCACATGTGATACTGTGAAATATATATTTGGTATTCTGCCCTCATTTTCTGGCGTACAACTCCTGAAATCCTTAGGATCTCCAAAATGATAAGTTCTCTTTGTGCTGTGAATGACTGACAGCTGGCAGCCCCTAGGCAGCTTCAGGTTGAGGCTGCTCACTGGAATGACAGATGCAGGATTCGAGGGTTGGGACTTTCAGCCCCACCCATACCTCTGGGGAAGGGAAAGGGGCTGAAGTTAAGTTGATGGCTGATGGTTTAATCAATCTTGCCTACATAATGAAGCCTCTATAAAAACCCAAACAAGGATTGGCTGGAGAGCTTCCAGGTAGCTGAACACTTGGAGGTTCCTGGAGGGTGTGGTGCTCCAAGGAGGACATGGAAGCTCCACGTCCCTTTTCCCCATACCTCCCTACAGGCCTCTTCGATTTGTGAACTGGTACACCTCTGTGTTTCCCCGAGTTCTGTGAGCTGCGCTAATTGAATCCCAAGAGGAGGCTGTGGGAACCCCAACTCGAAGCCGATTGGTCAGAAGTTCCGGAGGTCCTGTGACTGGTATCTGAGGTGGGGCAATTTTAGGGACTGAGACCTCAACTTGTGGGATCTGCCACTGTCTTCAGGGAGATGGTGTCGCAATAGAATTGGAGGACACCCAGCTGGTGTCTGCTGCAGAATTGATTGCTTGCTTGCTGATGGAGAGAAATCCCCACATATTCTGAGTCACAGAAGTCTTCTGTGTCAACTGCTGTGTGGTGTGATGGCAGAAGAAACATGGTTTGAGTTTTTCCAGACACAGTGTTTTGAAGGCTGGCTGTGGGAACAGACCATCTTCTAAGGCGTACTCCAAACCTTTCTGCCCGGATTACCAGCCACGGCCATCACTGCTGTCCTCACTCTGGGCCCCTGCTGCCTTTGACCAAATTACAGGGTGTCACACAGCCCCAGCACAACCCGTGTGCCATGGTTTCTAATTCTAAGCCTGTTTTCTTTATGCAATAATGCTTAGTATCTGTCTCTGCATACTCTGGGCTGTATTTGTGGATATGAAAATAGAACCTTTTAGAAAATACCTTTTCAAAGCCCCCAAACATCAGGCTTATGTTAAAATCTGTAGGTTTTCTCAGTTCTTGTGACATTTCCTGTTTGCATTTGCACAGCTTGGAGAGCAAATATTCACTGATGGGTTACAGATTTATTTTGTCTTCTGTTCCCATTTCTGTAGTTCAAGTCTTAGCTATTCAGGGCATTCATTTTTGGGGAGTAAAATACTCATTTGAATCTGTTACTTTTCTTTGTATCAAGTTTTCAAAAGAATTCTTTGGTGAAGAATGGTGCAGGCCTTGACTGGGACACAGCTGGATCTGAGTCCTAGTTCCCGCACTGGCCAGCTCCAAGCCCCGGGTTCTATGTGTGAAGTGGCATAGACTCTATGAAAGCACTTGGGGATGGCATACAGTAGGTGCCCATCACAGGCGAATTCTCTTTCCTATGTAGATTAGGCAGCGTCCTGCAAAAAAGAAATCTTTCCAGCTGAGTCTTTTACACCCCTTACTAAACATTCAGCAAGAACCATTTGTGTACTTAATGTTGGTAATTTTGGCAATCAAAGAGGGAATTATTTTAACTTAATAATTTATACTATATATATATTGAGCTACATTAGCCCCACAAATCCAGCTATCTACCAACATTTTGAAACTGTTCTAAAATTGGAAATTGGAATTCATAGGAGTTGACAAACCATGAAAAAAATTCATCTGTGTGAAGGAAAAGAGAAACAAAAGCAGGTGTGTTGTTTTCACTGATAATTGACCATAGGAACTGAACTTGTTTTGAATTATTTGGAGTAGTAAAGAGGGTTCATGAAAGAGGCGGGTGTGGAAAAGGATGATTAGAAAATTTGATCTAGCAGTTTTTAAAATTCTTTGTCTTTTGTTTCAACCTCCATTCCTCCTTTGATTTTCAAGAAAGTCTGAAACTCCAAAACATCAGACAGGTGGGATACTTAATACAAGAGACCAAATTATAGTGTCCTACTGTCATCCCACATTTTGACATAAAAAATCAGATTATTGGAAAGTCACCATTCTCTGGGGCATGGATCTGCCCCTCTGGTGACTGCCGACGTGTTGTTGGGTTATCCACCATTTGTGCCGGTGGAGGTTCCTGGGAGATCCTCAATGTCTCTGCACTTCCTGACTTCCTCTCCTCTCCACTGAGGAGTAGAAGAGTGCCTTAGTGAACGCCCCATCTCGCTGACCTGAAGGCCAGTCGTGGCACTGGTGTCAGGGGGCAAGTGTGTAGAAAGCCAGTTCTGAGACTCCCAGGCCCAGTGCTGTGCCCATTCCAGGGTGAATCTTTACCTGGAAAGAGGGGCTTTGAGATTTGAAGGAGCAAGGAGTTGACAATGCTGGCTGGTCCTTCCAGCTCCAGTCAACGTGGGCCTCCTGTTCAGTCTTAAGTTTTGAATACTTGGTGTCAGGGTTTGGAGGATCTACTGTTCCTTTGAGAAACTATTCTTTGATCAGAGTTGTGACTTTCAGATATGGAGAACACGATTATTTTTTTTCTCCTTCCTTTGAATCCTGTCCTGGCCCAACTCCGCTTTCTTCCACTTCTTATCAGAGAGAACTGAGCCCCGTTTTACTAAGATTCCTGGTAGCTGCACACTGGCCTGCACTCCTTTAAAGAATCCAGCACCTCAGTGGAAATTAATTTTAAAACATGCATTTCAAAATCAGTTGAATCACGTTTGAAAAATGTTTTGTGTAAAAATTCTTGCTCAAAATGTGACTGAGTTCATATTGTAAGAGATATGAGCTCTTTCAGAGAGTAATGTAAGATTAATTTGTAAAATTTCAGGAAGGTGGTGTATATCTAAAGAACCATTACTCTAACTCCCAGCAGCACCTCATCTGCTGTCAACAGCTTCTGAAGATTCTCTTCTCTTTGGGCAGAAGGGAAAGTGACTGTCCTGTTATTATTTGCACATAAAACAGGTGTGAATTTGTATGTCATCTTGCCTTGTCACTTTTACTCTCTTTGGCTTCTCCAAAATGAGGAGAAGAGGCCTCTAAGGAGTCAAACCATAGGAGGGATGATGCTGACAGGAGACATGGAAGGACAGAATTCCCAGGATGAGAAGTAGAAGGGCTGGTGCTGGGGGAACCAAGCCTCCTGAGGAGTCTAACTCTGAGCCGGAACGGGCACGGGCAGTGGAGTGGAGCACTGCAGCCATGCTAGAAAGAAGGCCAAGGTCTCCCGTGGGAATGATGAGAGTCACAGATAGGGGAGGCTGCTAGATTGTAACAATTTCAGTAAAAGACTGCTGTATGAACACTGTTTAAGTGCAAAACACACTTGAATTTAAACAGCATTACCAAGGCCCATTCTGTTTTAGAGATAGAAGCTCCTTTAATAACAAACTTTTATAGATATAAAGCAACAGTAGTTTCCCCTGATTCACAAGTTCTCTTTTGGAGTTTTCAGTTACCTATAGGCAACCTCAGTCCAAAAATATTAAGTGGAAATTTTCAGAAATAAACAGCTTGTAAGTTTTAAATTGTATGCTGTTCTTAGGAGTGTGATGGGATCTCCCCCTCTCCCCCTTCCAGGACATGAATCATCCATTGTCCAGCACATCTACGCTGTAGACACTACTGCCGGTTATCACTCAGTAGCCATCTGAGTTATCAGACCAGCTGTCTGGGTGTAGCAGTGCTTACGTTCACCTAACCCTATTTTACTTTGTAATGGCTTCAGAGCACCAGAGGGGCCATTTGGGACTCATTCCCATTGTGACTCTGTTTCCCCTCGTTCCCGTTCAGCCCTGCCTGCTCACTGCTTCTCAGCATATATTTCCCTCACAACTGCACAGAGAGCAAATAGACTTAGAACCTGAAGGGCATCAGGATCCCAGAGGAATCGAAGGAAGAAGCAATGTACTGCTGGGGTCCTGGTCTCCTACCTCCTTGGAACTCATTCCAAGTTGCCATTTACAACCTAGGAGCCTGAGGTGCCTAGGAGCTTTCCAGCCCTTTTCCCAGGCCAGTGCCCCTGTCAGATGGGATTCAGCCTCACTCTGTGGACTCTAGCAACACAGTGTGACCCCACCCCATCAGAAGCCCCAGCTTCCCTTCCACCCTCCCTTCACCCCTCGTCTCATCAACACTGCAGTTTCCTTTTCACTTTTATTGGTTGCTCATTGGCTTTCTAGGCTGCTACCTAGCACTGGACTAGGAATTGTTTGCTTCTGATAGCAAAGTTTGATAAATGTTCTATCTGTAGTCTTTCAGATTTTTGTATCTGTGCTGTGTGTTTGAGCTTTGTGTGTGTTCCTGGTCTTTATGCTGTGAATCAGCATAGCAGAATGGAAAGCCATCACCTGATAGTCAGCAAGGCCAGAATGGGAATCCTGGCAGTGCCACTTGATTGACTGTGTGACGTCAGACAAGCTACTTACTCTTGCTGAGCATCTTTTTTTTTTTTTAATCTATAGAGTGGGGCTATTGATAATTCCTGCTGAATAGCATAGCTGTGAGGATTAATGACCCTGCATATAATCAGTGCTTTAAAAGTGCTAACTTTCATTGTCATGATTTTTCTTTTCCTCTGAGG